>NC_000014.9:30520803-30823834 GCF_000001405.40 Homo sapiens | reverse complement strand
TTACCCAGGGTGGAGTACAGTGGCATGATCATGGCTCACTGCAAACTCCACCTCCCGTGCTCAAGTGATCCTCCCACCTCAGCCTCCTGAATAGCTGGGACCACAGGCATGTGCCACCATGGCCAGATAATTTTTTGAATTTTTGGTAGACATGGAGTTTCTGCCATGTTGCCCAGGCTGGTCTTGAACTCCTAAGCTCAAGCAATCCTTCTGCCACGGCCTCCCAAAGTGCTGGGATTACAGGTGTGAGTCACTGTGCCTGGTCTTAAATATGCTTTTAAATTCATCAAACTTATTAAAATGTTTTGGCATGGTTAAAGAGTACTGTTGTTTCTCCCCATAGCAATTATATTAATTCTTCTGAAACTCGTATTTACCAGTCTTTAAAAAGTGACAATTTAGAAAAAATGCACTATTACATTTCCTGGAAATAGTTAAGAAAGTTATTATTTGTGTCATGTCAATTTGGGAGGAACATAACAACGGGTGTTTTAGAAGTCTTATTTTTAAGCTAGATTCCTTTATATTTTTTGATGTTTGGAATGATATAATGGAAGGAACAGCACAAGCTGAGTGTGATTGGAAGTGCCTGGAAGGATATTATTAGAATTCAAAATGACTTAGTAATTGAGGGAGTGTGAAATGTGGTCAGAATAAAATGCAGTGTAGTGAATTGTTGCTAGGAGGAAAAATAAGACTGCCCTAATATATAATGGGGACTTATAGATAAATATGGCTAAGATTTAAATTTCAGGGGTATAGTAAATCTAACTTGAATCAGCAATGTTAGTATATGTGATATTAGAAGATGTAATGGCAGAATGTTATTTAAGTGTTGGGATCAGAGCAGTGTTCTAGGGACTAGGCTTAACTTCTAGGACAGGTTACAAACTGGCACCTCACAAAACCACCCCTGATGGGTTTTGGTTGGGCTGAGAGACAGAGAGTGGGAAAAGGAGAGGGAAAATGAAAGAAAGGAAGAAGTTTCCAACTTTTAAAAAGTGAGAATTTTGACATAAAATCCAGATTTCCAGTGTCTCTTGAAATGTTTGGCAATACTGTGTATTGTTGTGACTAGCCTGTCTACAATAGACTCGTGCTGAACAGTAGCTGCTTACTTAAATTGGGGTCTGTCCTGTCCAGACCTCCATGGTTTCCCCCACTTCTAGCTCTAAGCCACTAGCGCCGGGTATTGTTACAGTTCTTTCCCCAGCAATCGTTTTTCCCATACCAGGTCCGTACCTGTTTTAATTGCCTCCTGTTCACTCTGTCGTTGAGGAAGTGATTCTTGACCTAGGTTTATGGAAACGGCCAAACACCTGACACCCAACACTGGACAGGTAAGATCAACAGCAGTTTATTCATCACATATACTCACTGCCTGAGGAGGAGGACATTGTATGCCACACAGGGCCACATCGGAGTTGCACTCAGGAACACAGTGAACAAGGACGGGCTTTGGGAGACAGGCTTTGTAGTATCTAAAGGGTGAGGTGTCCCTTGGTTCCAACAGGAAGGTGTGATTCGCTTGTTTGAATAATATCACAGGCTGATAGGGAACGGAAATTCACTACTCAGAGATAAGCAGGAACTACACCTGGTTCTCTTGATACAGAGGGTTATTTGGCTAGGGAATCTTATCTCTGGGAACAGAGCAGCAGGGGAACTTACATTTAGGCCATTTAAGGCCCTCCTGATTTCACCAGATATCGAAGCAGCACAGAACACTGCATCTTAGTTTCAGGTCTTATGACAAAACACCTTCCTTAACTCATTTACCTTGCTTGTCAAGCCCATGTACATATTTGGATGGAGACTCTGTAGCTAGGAGGAGGAATTTTTCTAATTCTAAAGGTTTGTGAAATTGAAATACATCTGCAAGGATGGTTATATATTTTCTTCTCTGAAGATTAAAAAGAAATACAATGAACAAAACCCAAGAAAAGTAGTTTTTTTTTTCTTTTTAATTTTTAATGACCAAAACAAAGCCTCTAAAACTGCAGCTTCTGGAAGAACCACTTGTTCTTGCCCGTCTTGTACCTCTTTTCAAACTTGATCTTGGCTTCTTGTCCAGCCTTGGGTTTAAGAGCAGGGTGTCTGCAGACATCCTTATTAATGACAGTTTTGTCCAAGAGGATATCCACAGAGTACCTTGTGGGCATTAGGTGATTAGTTATAAACTTTCACAAAAGACTTGATCTTTGACCTCTTGGTGATCTTCTTCTTGCCCATGGCAGCTCTTACTTTGCAGGGATAGTGGTCAATTCCAGCCACCAGGGCATGGCTGTAGGGGCGATCTGAGGTGCCATCATCAATGTTCTTCACGATGACAGCTTTGTGTCTGGAGTAGCATCCAGCCAGGACAAACACCACTTTCCGAGGTTTCAGGAACTTGCCCATTTTGACAGTAACCACTGGGGCCTACAGCAGAAAGGAAAGAAGGAAAAACTTTAGTTTTTAAATGCACCTCTGCCCAGAGTGGATAACCTCTAGGATCTTTTAGGGATTTTTCTATACACAAAATGGCATTTAAGTTGGTATTAAGAAAAATTTTATGATACGATTGATAGTGAAAGAACTTACCAACATTTACCAACATTATTAGGAAACATTTATTCATTTGGCCAATGTTTTTCGTTTGTTCAAAAATTTTTATTAAATATATACTGGGTCAAGTGTTAAGGCTTTAACAACAATGATTCATTTTCTTACCTGAAAGAGCTTGCATTATGTTTGAAGAGACAGAACATTAAACTATCAATTACTAATCAATGTGGTAGGTGCTATTAAGGATATAAACAGAAAACACAAAGAAGAGGAAAGGCATCGTGATCTGCTTGGAGGTTTAAATTTTTTAAAAAACAGATAATTGAGTATCTGAGATGACTCAGCACTGATTTGAAAGTGAAAAAAGTCATCTCTCAGGGTCTTTCCAAGTTCAGTGTTTCTGAAATCTTCAATTTGAAAATTAGTACACACTGGGTGCAGTGGCATGTGCCTGTCGTCCCAGCTACGTGGGAGGCTGAGGTGAGAGGATCACTTGAGCCCAGGAGTTAGAGGCTGTAGTATACTATAATCATGCCTATAAATAGCCACTGCACCTCAGCATGGACAAGAAGTGAGACCCCGTCTTTAAAATAATAAAAAGAAAGAAAAAATTAGTACTTTCTGTGTAATATCCACAGAGTACCTTGTGGAAATTAGGTGATTGTAGTTATAAACTTTCACAAAAGCAGGAAATTTAAGGAGAGTTTGATAAAGAAATGATTTGCAAAGGTGTAGATAGAATACAGATACAGCCCATGAAATGAAAGGGTTCCGACAATTTGGTAGCTTCCATGCTTTCTCTCTGGTAATTTGTCTTCAGTTGGTTTTCCTTTGTCCAGTGCGGCTCATGTAAGCTGGAGTTCAAGGCTGTATGTCTATGGTCACAGATTTCTGTGGTGAGCTATCTCTAGTGACCTGGATGATGACTTTGAGGTCAGAGAGAGGGGTCCTGGGGTCTTAGCAGTGGACCGAGGCCAGGTGCAGAGGGTATGTACATGTCTGTGGAAGGACAACACTGTATGTACCATGCTATCTTCAAGTGAGTGGCTGGCTGTGCTTTAAAGCCAAAATAAAAACAACATGAGCATTCTTAGAAATTGTGTAGTGTTACATTTGTCTTTCTTCTCTTCTTTCTGTTGATATAAATCAGAATTTTATCAATTATATTCTGCGGAACACTAGTTCCTAGGTGCTTTTTTATAAAAAGGGAAAAGTCTGTGAACAAAAATGCCTGGGAAATGAAGTATACAATATATAAATAGTTTTTTTTATTCAGTGTTCCCCAATTTTTTTCATAGGTGAAGTTTTTTCTTTTAAACATTTTCTAATGTAGGTTTAAATATTAGAACTAGGACACTGTGGAATCACTTTGAAAAATCTAGGTCCTGGAAGAACCACTTGTTCTTGCCTGTCTTGTACCTCTTTTCAAACTTGACCTTGGCCTCTCATCCAGCCCTGCGTTTAACAGCAGGGTCTCTGAAGACATCCTTATTGATGACAGTTTTGTCCAAGGGGCTATCCATAGAGTACCTTGTAGGTATTAGGTAATTGTAGTTACAAACTTTCACAAAAGCAGGAAATTGATGGATAATTAAGGAGAGTTTGATAAAGAAATGATTTGCAAAGGTGTGGATAGAATTCAGAGAAATCACAAGAGATATTACAGTAGGCTGGGGCAGGCCAGCAGGGAGACATCACTGCTGATCCCAAAGGAGAAGGGGAAGGGGAAGAAACGATTACAGGCACTTGAAGAGCGAGAATTATGGGGAGAGGACTTCCTGATAGAAGTTGCAGCCTTTGGCTGAGCTATTCGCCAGTGGCACCTTGTCTGCTTTGATCCTGTTTGTGCTTTACTTTGGCTAAACCCAGTGGGAAGCCAGAGGCTAAGACAGTCAGTTGATTTAGTCCATACAGTCAGCTTCTTGAGGCACAGAAAAGGGTGGAGAGTAGATCTGGAGGGGCAAACAGATAATATTCAGCATATATATTATGCATGCTGAATATATATTATATATATGATACATGCTGAATATATATAATATACATGCTGAACATATATAATTATATATAATATATAATAATTATTATATAATAGATATATTATATACTGATTATCTTGGGAGAGTAAATCAGCTTTTAGCCCTCATAACTTTTAAACTGTCATTAAAAGAGATTATGTGAATTACCTGTGAACAAATAGTATCCCAGGTATGTTTCCTTTTTCTCTTCATATTTTACACAACAGAGAATGAGAAAAGACTTAACTGCCACAACTGCATTTTTTAAAATACCTTAGGAACAACAGAAATTTATTTCTCACAGTTCTGGAGACTGGGAAGTCGAAGATCGAGGCACCAGCAGATGTGATGTCTGGGGAGGACCCATTTCCTGGTTCATAGATGGTGCCTTGTTGCTGTGTCCTCACATGGTGGAAATGGGTGAACAAGCTCTCTTGGCCTAGTTTTTAAAATTGACAAGTAAAAATTGTATATATTTATGGTGTACAACATGATGTTTTGATATATTGGGGAATGGCCAAATCATACTATTTAACATAGTCATTATTTAACATACTTACTTTTTTTGGTGGTGAGAACACTTTAAGTCTACTCTCCTCGCAATTTTCAAGTATACATTATATTGTTATTAACTATAGTCACCAAGGTGCACAATAGACCTCTTGAACTTATTCCTCCTAATTGAAATTTTGTGTCCTTTGACCAATATCTCCTCAATCCCTCCATCCCCTAACAACCAAATTTTTGTGGAACCAAATTAGAGTGCCATTGTCTCTCATTAATAGGAGATGGTAAGATAAGTTTTTAAATTGCCATTCAGTATGACCTAATTTTAACCCAGAATGTTATTACTATTTGTAATAGTTACATGTTCAAAAAACTCAGCAAAACTAAAATAATAAGAGACCTTGTATTTGGATGATGGTAGCAGAGACCACTGGTTGTCTGCAAAATCCATTCTTTTATTCTTGCAGAGTAATGAGAGTATAGTCAGTTACCTGATGAATAGAAGTGATGTGTGCCACTTCTAGAAGGGGGCTTCTTGGAGAATATGAATTCCTCCTCTGCACTCTTTTCTATTGGCTAAATGCAGATGATAGGAAGACCATGGGGAAGCCACAGAATGAAAGGCACTGGGGTTCCTGAATCAATGCATGGAGAAAAGCTGCCACCTGACCTGAACTCCTATTCTGAACCATTATATAAACAAGGCAAAAATTTCTGTTGTATTCAAGCCACAATATATTTGTGTCTATTTGATTGAGTAGTTTATTTAGCCCATCCAAACTAATACAGATGCCATTTTAAACTTTTAATTATTTTCTATATATTTAAAGCCCCTATTTTAAAGGTAGTGGGGGCATAAAGAGATTCATTAATTCTTTCAACAAATACTTATTGACCATTAGGAAAATTTGTTGAAAACAATCTATAAAATCATTTTTTGGGAGGACATTTATTCATATATTCTATAAATATTAATCAAGGCTTTTAGTGTATAGGAACTAACAGTCTAGTGTTAGAGACAGACACTAAAAAAATTAGAGTGTAGATTGCTACAGTGTTTAGTACTCATAAGAATAACACAGTACTATGAAGGCAAATAATAGGGGGATTTGACCTAGCAAGGTAAGTAGGAGAAGGATTCCCAGAAGTGACAACTAACTCAGATGTGAAAAACATATGCTTAGGCTGGTGAGAAAGAGAAAGAAACTTTTCTAACAGAGATAATAATATATACAAAGGCCTGATTTGGATGGAAAAGGTTCTGGTAAATATGGGGGCCAGGGGAAGGCTGTTGCGATTGGAGCTGTAGTAGTAGCACAGATTTAGGGCTGAACCTTGAAGAGCTCTACATTTAAATTCAAAGTCAAGGAGGCTGAGGCTGTAGATTAGACAGAAAAAGTGTGCAGAGAGGTATCTTAGCTCAGGCTACTATAACTAATACCATAGACTGGGTTATTTAGGCAATAAACATTTTATCATCACAGTTCTGGAGGATGGGAAGTCCAAGATCAAGGTGTCATCAAAAGATTCAATTTTTGGTGAAGACCTTCTGCCTGGCTTGCGAATGGTTGCCCTTCTTGCAGTATCCTCAGTAGTGAAGACAGGAAGCTATGGTGTCCCTTCCTCTTCTCACAAGGGCACTAATCCCAGCACTGGGGCTCCACCTTCAGAATCTCATCTAAACCTAATTATCTCCCAAAGGCTTCACCCCCTAACGCCATCACATTGAGGGTTAGAGCTTCAACATATGAATTTTGAGAGGAGGATACAAAGATTCAGTTCATAACAAGAGATGTGAGAAGACCAGAAGGCAAGTGAAGAGTGTATTTCATGGAGAGAATGATCGCCAGTGTGGATGGGGGTGACTTTGATTGTGAAGAAAGAGAGAGAGGTAGGGAGTTAGGATTGTAGATGACAGGACATAGGAACCAAATTATTTTGTTGTTTTCTTAAGTGGTAGAGGGTTAAAAATGAATGGGAATAGCAGGGCGCGGTGGCTCACACCTGTTATCCCAGCACTTTGGGAGGCTGAGGTGGGCGGATCACCTGAGGTCAGGAGTTTGAGACCAGCCTGACCAACATGGTGAAACCCCGTCTCTATTAAAATACAAAAATTGGCCGGGCGTAGTGGCGGGCGCTTATAATCTCAGCTACTTGGGAGGCTGAGGCGGGAGAATCGCTTGAAACCAGGAGGCGGAGGTTGCCGTGAGCCGAGATCGTGCCATTGCACTCCAGCCTGGGAAACAAGAGTGAGACTCCATCTCAAAAAAAAAAAAAAAAAAAAGAATGGCAATAATCCAGTTACCAAAGGGAGAATTTTATTTATTTTATTTATTTATTTTTTGAGACAGTGTTTCACTCTGTCGCCCAGGCTGGAGTGCAATGGCGCAATCTCTGCCCACTGCAACCTCTGCCTCCCGGGTTCAAGCGATTCTCCTGCCTCAGCCTCCCAAGTAGCTGGGATTACAGGCATGCGCCACCATGCCCAGCTACTTTTGTATTGTTAGTAGAGACGGGGTTTCACCATGTTGGTCAGGCTGGTCTCGAACTCCTGACCTCAGATGATCTGCCCGCCTTGGCCTCCCAAAGTGCTAGGATTACAAGCATGAGCCACCGCCCCCAGCCACAAGAATTTAAATTTTTAAGAGCAAGAGTGAATAATTTGGTAGCAAAATAATCAGTTACTTGAGAAGAATTAAAGAATGCACAGGTGGAGAGATTAATCCTGTATAGGAGGACAGAGTGTTTCTTTATTTTAATGGGTAAGAAGGAGGATAGATGGGAACAGATGTAGGTAAGTTTATATATTTACAATCAGAAGTTAAGATAGTTCCATTTTCTCTGAAAAGTCAGATTCAATGTATCTGGAGAGACTAAAAGAGAGTGGGGCATGAGGAGATTGGAGAATGTTTGAAACACTATTGAGTCTTCCAATTTATGATCATGGTATATCTCTCAATTTATTTAGATATTCTTTAGTATGTCTCTTGTAAACTGCAAATAATTTGATCTTGCTTAAATAAAAATACCAGTCTCACTACCTCTGCCTTTTAACTTAAATGTTTATTCCATTTATTTTTAATGTAGTTATTGATTTAGTTTGGTTTAAATGTATGATTTTGCTATTTGCTTTCTCTTTGTTCCATCGTTATTTCAGTTTTTTCTGTGTGTTTTTAGAAGTATTTTAAAAATTACATTTTATCTCTTCTATTTCTTATTAGTTATACTTCTTTAATTCTTTTCCACGGCTATACCATGCTTTATAGTATGTATCTTAAATGTATGCCAGCTTCCCTGCAAATAATATTGTACCACTTTATATATAATTCACCTTACAACCTACAATTTATAATTATAGAATGTACTTCTGTAAGTTATAACCTACAAATACCCTGTTATTATTTTGCTCTAAACAGTCACAGTCAATTATCTTTTACAGAAATTAAGAAATGAGAAAAAATCTCCTAAATTTTTCATATATTTACCATTTCTTCTGCTTTTTATTCTTTCTAGTTTCCATCTGATATTATTTTCTTTCAGCCTGAGGAATTTCCTTTAATGTTACTTGGAATACTGAAGTGCTGCTGTGAATTCTCCTACCCTATATTTGAAAATGTCTTTACTTCACTTACATTTTTGAAGGACATTTTTAGTAGATACAGAATTCTAGGCTGTTTTTTCTTTCCTTTTTTTTTTTGAGACGAAGTCTCACTCTGTCACCCAGGCTGGAGTGCAGTGGTGTGATCTCGGTTCACTGCAACCTCCACCTCCCGGATTCAAGCGATTCTCCTGCCTCAGCCTCCTGAGTAGCTGGGACTAAAGGAATGCGCCACCACACCTGGCTAATTTTTGTATTTTTAGTAGAGATGGGGTTTCGCCATGTTGGCCGGGCTTTTCTCAAACTCCTGACGTCATGTGATCCACCCACCTCGGCCTCCCAGAATGCTGGGATTACAGGCGTGAGCCACCGTGCCTGGCCTCTAGGCTGTTTTTTCATTCAGCACCTTAAGATGTTGCTCCATTGTCTTCGACTTGTATCAATTCTGACAAGTCAGTTGAAATACTTTTCGTTATTCTCTGGTATGTAATGTGTCTTCATTCCCTGGCTAAGATTTTTTTCTTTCAGAAATTTGATTATGGTGTGCTTTGGGGGGTGTGTGTATGTACTGCTTGGGATTGTTGAATTTAATTTTTTTGTGAAATTTGGAAAGATTTTGACCATTTTTTGAATATTTTTCTGCCCCAATTGCTGTCTTGTACCCCTCTGGTCCTCCAGTTATAAGCACACAAGGCTACTGAGACACTGGTCATTTTTATTAGCCTTTGTCCCTTTGTGTTTCAGCTTAGATAGTTTCTATTGCCCATTTTCAAGTTCACTGGTCCTTTTTTTTCACTGTAAAATGTGTTATTAAGCCATCTTGTGAGTTTAAAAAAAATTTCAGATATTGAATTTTTAATTGTAGATTTTCCATTTGGTTGTTTTCCTGTATTTTTATTTTTGTATTAATATTTCTGATTGTTTCTGTGTTATGTTCATGTTTCTTTTTATATTCCAGAACATATTTGTGACAGCTATTTAAAATTATTTGCTGAAAATTGCTATCGTTTCTGAATCTATTTTGTTGATGATTTTTTGTCTGATTAAGGTCACAATTTCCTGTTTCTTAGATTGTCTAGTAAAAAAAATTTTATTGTATACTGGACATTATGAATGGTGCATCACTGAGTGTGTGGAATTTGTGGTTTTCTTTAATAGAATGTTGAAGTTTGTTCCAGCAAGCAGTTAATTTACTCGTGGATCAGCTTGATTTTTGCAAATCTGTCTTTTAGTTTTATTATTGGCTCTAGAATTGCCTTTACTTTAGAGCTAGATTAGCTCCACGTTGAAGACCTGGTCTTGCTGGAAAGCCTGGTCTTACTGTTGAAAGCCTGGGATGTTCAATGAGGTCTCTCTGCTGTGGCTAATCAGAGCTAGAATATCTCCTCTCTCTGTGTGAGCTCCAGTATTTGTTCAACTTCCAGATTCCAGTAATTATTCTTTTCCCAGCACATAGTTGATCTTTCCTTGGTATTTCTTTGCTGCCTACTTTTGTAAAGCCTCATCCTAGGCACGTGCTGCTTATTTTTGGGCTCAAAATGCGAGTTATCCTATCCAGCTATCTGGAGTTTCTTTTCTATTCAGCTCCCTTTTCTCTGTGACCCTGCCCTGAAGGCTTCAGGAGCCTCAGTGGCTTTGAATTCTAACATCTGTTTCCTCCATTTGGCAAAACTGCTGAGTTTGGGCCTCCCTCCCGGCACTGTGCCCTGAAATGCACCTCCAAGCAGAAAGGCAGAGCAATTGTGGGTTCACCTCATTTGCTTCAATTCTTCTTTTTTTGAGATGGAGTCTCGCTCTGTTGCCCAGGCTGGCGTTCAGTGGCGCAATCTCGGCTTACTGCACATTTGCTTCAATTCTTGCTGGGATCACAGTCCTTTTAAGGATCACAGTCTTCTGATACAGGTATCAGCCTTCTAGGGATCATATTCTAGCCTGTTGTGCAATGTCTGAAATAGTTAATTTATACATTATGTTCTGTGTGGTTTTTTTTTTTTTTTTTTTTTTTGAGACAGAGCCTCATTCTGTTGCCCAGGCTGGAGTGCAGTGGCACAATCTTGGCTCACTGCAACCTCCACTTCCTGGGTTCAAGCGATTCCTCTGGCTCAGCCTCCCAAGTAGGTGGGATTACAGGTGTGCACCACCACGCCTGGCTAATTTTTGTATTTTTAATAGAGACAGGATTTCACCATGTTGGCCACGCTGGTCTTGAACTCCTGACCTCAGGTGATCCGCCCATCTTGGTCTCCCAAAGTGCTGGGATTACAGGCGTGAGTCACCGCACTGAGCCATTTTGTTGAGTTTTGTATTTGTTTATGCCTGAAAGACTAGCCCAGGACCAGTTCCTCAATCACGGCTGGAAGGGAGAGTCTTACAGATTTATAGCTTTTATTTCTTTTTTCTATCGCTATTATTTCTTGATTTCATTTCTTTATTTGTTTGTTTTTTTGGCACTGGGTCTTGCACTGTTACCCCAGCTGGAGTACAGCAGTGTGAGAGGAGAGAGAGAGAAATCAACTAGGCAGATAGGGCAAGGGTCCTCGGTAGAATTCCCTTCTAATAAAAAGCAGCCCAAGAGGTCATTTCTCCTTCAGCAAAGAGCAGCCTGAGAGATCAGGCTGCAAACACAGTTAATGAAGGCAAGCTCTAACACAGAAAGGGGTCTCCTGTGTGACATACAGACATACAGTGGACCTCAGTAAGCACAGTCCCCTGTCTTCCCGGAAATACTCAGACAAGGAGGCTTGTGCAGGTGAAGTGCCTGCAGCAGCACCAATAAGAACACCAAATGGTGTTCTGGCGCCCCGGCGCCCCCGCGCCCCCTTCCCCACCCCTCCCCCACCTTTTTTACACATGCGCAGCAGGAAAAGATAAACAACATGGAGTAACTCAGGCTAAGAAGCTGAATGGGCACTAGAAAGAGTGGGGTGGGAACTCAGAAATTTGTGCCTTATGCAAATGGAACACCCCTCCCCTCCAGCTTGCCTATAAAAACCCTTGCACTTCACTGTAAAATGGCAACCCATCTTTCTGGGACCCCTCTCTGCTCCAGAGAGCTTTCCTCCTTTCGCTTATTAAACTTCTGCTCCAACCTCACCTTTGGAGTGTCTGCATCCTTCATTTTCTTGGCCGTGACACCAAGAACTTCAGGTGCCACCTCAGACAACAAGGCCCGTTTCAGCAGGATCACAGCTCACTACAGCCTTGATCTTCTGGACTCAAGTGATCCTCCCACCTCAGCCTCCCGAGTTGCTGGGACTATAAGTGCAAGCCTACAGTCTTATAGAGATGGGGGGCCCCCTATGTTGCCCAAGCTAGTCTCAAATTCCTGGGCTGAAGTCATTCTCTCACCTTGGCCTCCCAAAGTTTTGATATTACAGGTGTGAGCCACTGTGCCTGGCTAATTCAGTCTTTTATAACTTGCTTTGGAAGTCCCAAGTTATGTTGAAGAATATGCCCAACATATGAGCATGACAGTGTTTTAAGAAGACTATTTAATGTTTGTATATTTGGTATACAGAATGAATGATGATATTCTATTTACGTATTTTAGAAGTAAAATAAAAATTACTAAAATTAAATGTTTAATTCATTTCAAATAAGTATATAAACAATAAATGTAAAATGTAAATTTATAAAATGTAAACATTAAGCATTATAAATTTAATATAAATTATTAGCACATAAGGTAATAAAAAGAAGATATTATTCTTAAAATAACTTAAACATGACAATGAAGATATTTTATGATATATTTAAAATATAGGGCCAGGCATGGTGGCTCATACCTGCAATCCCAGCATTTTAGGAGGCAGAAGTGACAGGATTGCTTAAGCCCAGAGTTCTGGACCAGCCTGGGTGACATAGGGAGACCCTGTCTCTAACAAAAAGAAAAAAACTAGCCAGGCATGATGGCGCATGCCTGTAGTCCCAGTTGCTTGGGAGGCTGGGGCAGGAGAATCACTTGAGCCCAGGAGATCAAGGCTACAGTGAGCTATGATTGTGTCACTGCACTATAGCCTGGGTGTCAGAGTGAGATCCTGTCTCTCCTTCTCGCTCTCTCTCTCTATATATATATGTATGTACACATTAAAAAATTATGTATGAAAAACATACACATAAAAATTAGACATACACATAAATTTAAAAATAAAATAAACATTTGATTTTTAAAAATCTATCTTAAAAATGTGAATTTTAAAAAGGAAATGTTTACATATGTTATTGTGGAGTTGTCACCTTATTTTCTGTGCAGATTTTTCCAGCTGCTGAGAGTTTTTTATTTACACTGCTATTTGAGAGAAGGATGAGAAATATTATAAGCAAGCTCCAGATATTTTTCTCTGACTTCTTCATCTTTGAATAATTTTCTCTCCTATTTCATAACTGAGGAAAAGTTTTTGAACAATAACTTTTTTCCTTTGCAGATACTATAATATTATTAATAGTGAGCTCTCATTTTTCTCTCAAAAAGTAGTTTTTTATTGTCCTCACTTTCTTTACTTTTATAATGTATGAATGTATATTCCTAGACTGAATTCACATATTAATTTCAGCTCTGTCATATTGTTTTTCTACTGCTTTGGAAAGTCTTGGTCCTAGAATAAGAATTACTCTTGCAAGAGAAACTTTGCATAGTACAATAGTATTGTTATTTATAGTTACTTTGTACCTGTTGCGAGTTGGAGAGCACATCAGTTGACACTTTTATATACAATGAATCATTGATCTTGATCTCCAAATGGAGATTATTTAGATTTTTAAAAATATTAAAATAATGGTAATACACTAACAAAAAATACGAGACTATTGGTAGGCCAAGTAACAGGATATACTGGAATCCTGTTGTATTCTCTAGTACTATAATTTATAAAAAATAAAATGGTATATGTTTGAGTGTGGTGGAGGGAATGCATGCTACTCTAGAAGTCAGGAAAAACTAGGATCTTATCCCAGCTCTACAACTAATTGTATGTATTAACATTTTTGGATAATTCTTATTTGTAAAACGTGGTGCTGTTGAGTTAAGTGAAATAAAGTTCCTTACAGAAATTCTCTGATTGCCTCTATAGTAATCAGTTTTAATAAAAATTTTTACTACAAATATTAAATGACCAGATTTTACAGCTTTAGTCTAGAAATTTTATGTCTGAAATTGTATACAGTAAACCAACACAGATGGGGGAGAATATGTTGTTCTGAGTAATGAAATATTCTGGCTAATAGCTTATTATCAAACATACTACACACAATTTAAAAGCATACTTTCTTAAAAATTAATAACATATTCAAAATTCTGTATCGAACACAGTTTTTCTTATGTAATTCAGAAGGTGTTTCAGGATATTTCCTCATGTGAGCATTATGAATGTGAATTATCATTGTACTTTGGGTTTATTATTATTTTTTTCTTTGAGACAGAGTCTTGTTCTGTTGTCCAAGCTGGAGTGCAGTGGCGATCATAGCTCACTGCAGCCTCGACCTTCTAGATTCAGGTGATCCTCTTGCCTCAGCCTCCCGAATAGCTGATATTATAAGTGTATGACACCACACTTGGTTAATTTTTTAAAGTATATTTTGTAGCAAGGGGGAGTCTCACTATATTGCCCAGGCTGGTCTTGAGCTCCTGGCTTCAAGGGATCCTCCCCACTCAGCCTCCCAAAGTGCCAGGATTACAGGTATGCGCCACGACGCCCAGCTCTGTATTTTGGGTTTATAAAGATACCAGTTGATAGAAATTTCTAGTTGCCAGAATCTTACAGAATGTAAGCTACCATTTACATTCCCATTTTCAATAATTTAAAGATGTCACCAATCTTGAAGAAAAACTGCTGATGAAAACCAGCCTCTTGCAGAGTCTTCATCTAAATGATCAATTACCGCTTTCTTCTTAAATTTATTAGTCTCAAAAGAAGAGAGTATCTCTTCTATTTACATCTTTATTTTTCACTGTACCATCATATGCTTAAAGACCATGTATGATTCTCCAAATGTCAAATTCAGGAGACACTTTTAAAACATAAAAAGCAAAATAATATTTATTTTAAAAATTCTTCTGGAAAGAGAAGAAACATAGTTTTTCAAAGGAACGTTTTATTCATTATAACTGCTTAGACCTACTCTCCTATGGAATTTTAGTATTGATGGTTTAAAAAATATAAGCAAAGCATACATCCTAGGATACATCATAGGAGGAGTTTATGCACAGCATTCAGATATTTTAATTCATCTTATAGTTTTCCGGGCTGGGGTACATTTCATCACAGTATTTCTTATGTATCAGAGGAAACTCACTGGGTTTCATTTCAGGATCTGGTATAAGTCAATGGCATGGACAGAAGCATTTTACTTTGGCATTTGAGTGATTCAGCAAAATGCCATCCATGTCCTGAGACTGTGGTTCATCTATTAGTTTCTATGGTCTTATATCAACATAGCAGCCAGAATGACACTAATGAAACTTTAGGTCAGATTGTGCTTCTCCTTTGCCCAGAGTGCTCCAATTGCTTTCCCTCTTACTCAGAGTAACAGCCAAAGTCTATACAATGACCTGTCTCCTCATTCTACTCTGTCCAGCCACTCCTCTCTGGACATCTACTTCATTAGTAGCTGTGTCCTGGACTTTGCTGGCCTGTTCTGTCTGTTTCTTCTGGTTCCTTTGGCATACTGTCACCCCATATTACCACATCTCTTGCTCTTCCACTGACTTCAGGTCTTTACTCTGTGTTACCTTTCAGTACTTACCTGACAGCACTATATAAATTAGACCTAAAATTAGACCATAAAATTTAAGTTTTTTTAAATTTTGGCAGGGCACGGTGGCTCACGTCTGTAATTCCAGCACTTTGGGTGGCCAAGGTGGGCCAATTACTAGAGGCCAGGAGTTCGAGAGTAGCCTGGCCAATGTGGTGGAACCCTGTCTCTACAAAAAATACAAAAACATTAGCTGGGCATGGTGGCATGCACCTATAGTAACAGCTACTTGGGAGGCTGAGGCACGAGAATCGCTTGAGCCTGGGAGGCGGAGGTTGCAGTGAGCCAAGATCACACCACTGCACTCCAGCCTGGGTGACAGAGCAGAGACTCTGTCTCAAAAAAAAAAAAAAGTTTATGTAAATTTTTATTGAGATAATTGTAGATTCACATGCAGTGGTAAGAACTAATACAGAAAGATCCCATGTACCCTTTACACAATTTTTCCCAATGGAAGCATTTTACAAAACAATAGAAAAATATTACAACCAGTATATTAACATTGATAGAATCCACCCATCCTGTTTGGATTTTCCATTTTAATTTAAAAATTATATATTTTTTTCATAGCACTTCTTACCATCCTATATATTTTACTTATTTTGTTTATTTTATTTTACCAGAATGTAAGCTCCAGGAGGGTGGTGATTTTTGTGTGGTTTGTTCACATCACTGGAACAGAGTCTGGCATAGTGGGTCCTTACACATTTTTGGTGAGTTAGTGAATTAATAGTATAGTCTCTTATACTGGACTCTGTATAAGGGATGGATACAGTGCAGCAAACTGTTGGCAGCAGTATTTGTCACAGGAGTGCTATAGAAGTTAAGATCTGTAGTCCAGAAAGAGCCAAACAAGCCTTTGCTTTTCTGCCCTAGAAGCTCCCTTTCGTGTCTTAGGCAATTACAGAGTGGATAACCTGCTGACAAAATTGGAAATCAATTTTGGTTTTTACTAACTAGCATTACAGTCTAGAGACACTAACCAACAAATCAGATCCAAATGGTTAAGCTGATTCGCCATTAGAAGCATGAACTAATGACACTGCAGAATCAGGGCCACCCTTATTTTAAATTTCTAGATCTTCCAGATATTCCCTTAGAACCTGACAGTCAATTCTTAAATAATGTTGGTGAAACGAATACTGATGGATTTGCACTCTTCCCAAAGCCTTGTTTGGCTATGAACAGTGCAGGGAACAATTCTTGACTTACCTCTCAGAATGTTAGGGCATCAAATACAAGAAATGATGCCCTAGATCAAACTTTGTCTATATAATAGAATTTGTTGGTAATGGATAAATAATAAGAAACTTGAGGCAGATGGCTACCGTATATAACAACCTCTTTAGAGGATAGTTTGACTATATATGTCAACTAATGCTTGTATTCTTTAAATCAGCAATTACATTTCTAGGAATTTAATAGATGTTTTTGTACATTTGCTATAACAGAGATATTGACCTTAAGTTTCTTTTCTTAACAATTCTGGTTTGTCACTGACAGAAATAGTTTGCAATATAGTTTGTATATTTGTCCTTGCCCAAATCTTATGTTGAATTGTAATCCCCACTCTTGGAGGTGGGGCCTGATGGGAGGTGTTTGGGTCGTGGGGGTGGATCCCTCATGGCTTGGTGCTATCTTTAGAATAGTGAGTTCTCACAAGATCTGGTTGTTCAAAAGTGTGTGGCACCTCCCCGCCCTCTTGCTCCTGCTTTTCCCATGTGATGTGCCTACTCCCCCTTCACCTTCCACCATGATTGGAAGCTTCCTGAGGTCTCCCTAGAAGCAGATACTGCTATGCTTCATGTACAGCCTGCAGAACCATGAGCAGTTACACCTCTTTTCTTATAAACTACCAGTGTCAGGTATTTCTTTATAGCTGTGCAAGAACAGCCTAATACAGTTTGCTAAGGACACGAAGTATTTCATTCAATTTTTTTCTTATTTCATTGGCTCTGCGGAATTCTGTAATCTGCTGGAAGCTTTGTCTAGACAACTCTAATATATCCTATACCCACAAAGGCTAGTATCACAATTAATCAAAATGTCATTTTCTTATAACATTTGAATTAATGAGGATATTTATTTTGCTTTATCTATAATAGCAAAAACTTCCAAAATGTATATGTGGAAAAAAGAGCATACAAAATTATGTATGTGCTACAGTTGTTTATATACTATATAAAATATGTATATATGTGGCAAAAGATATTTATTGCAGCATGTTTATAATAACATAAGAATGGAAACATTTGAACATCAATATGAAATTGGTGAAAAAATTGGGATTTTTTTCATACAATGGAAAATTGTGCAGCTGTGAACAAAAATGAGGTGTTATTTGTGCTTTTATGAAACAGTCTCCAAGGCATATTGCTAAGTAAAAGGGCAACTTGTAGGACAGTGTGTATGGTGTGATTCAATTTGGGTTAAAAATGTGCTATGTACACAGGTATATGTATGCAAGTGTGAATATGCTTGAAAATGCATAGACTACTTCCAAAGGATACACACAACACGTAATAATGTTTGCCTCTGGGAGAGGAGGAGGGTGGCTTTATTTTTATACTCTTTTGTATATCCATATATCTTTTTTTTAATTTAGAAGAAAGGAAAGATACAGTTTCATATCAGTTCAGGATTGTCACAGAGGAGGAAGGCTAGAATCATGCCACACGAACCTCACAGGTAGGAATTCAAATTTGAAAAATTTCATATAGGAGATGGGCATGGTTCTGTGAAATGAGACTTTTCAAAGAAAATGTGGTTCACGCAGGATAGGACACGAGCCAGATACAATGTAATTCTAACTTTTACATGAGTTGGGGGTAAGTACCGTCATCCCAAACTGGGCCTACTCTGTTGATAACAGAACATCAGGTTACCTTGTAGGTATAACAGAGCCCAAAACTGCAAGTCATATAGTCTGGGCATTCACAATAGGAAAAACTTTGACCTCTTGCAACACCCAAAGCAACCATTCCTCCCTTGGAACTAAGAAGATCAGGGCATGACCAGAACCTGAATGTCAGGACTCCTTCAGAAGCAAGGGAGCCCTTGGCCTAGAAGATCTGGTGCTAAAATCTGCCTCAACATACCTTATGTAAGTGTTCAAATTTGAGGTCCTCCAATCAGACTCTGCCAAGCCAACATTCCTAAATCCTTTCCCTTACCCTCTGAACCCTTAAAACTTATCCCAGATCCCAAACTGGGGAGATAGATTTGACTCCCACTCCTGTCTCCTTGCTGGCCAGTTTTGCAATAATGCCTTTCTTTTCTCAAAAGCTGGTGCCATAGTATTGGCTTCTGTGCACTTAAGGAAGTGAGCCTATTTGCTTGATAACATAAGGACACTTTTAAAAGTCTAAGGACAATAAATAGCTACCACTGATGGAGCACGTGCCACAGGCCAAGCTTTTCATGGGTCATCGCATTGGATCTTTATGACAACCCCATGAAGTAGACACAATTATTGTTATCCCCCTTTACTGACAAGACAGGGAACTACAGAGAAGCTAAGTAACTTGTCCAAGATAATGCAACCAGAAGAAAGAAGGCTGGCTGTGCTCTTAATTATTGTCTTATTCTTCCTGTGTTAGCCAAATATACGCCAACAGATAGAAGTGTGGTTCTAATACAGCAAAGAAAGTTTTAATGAGGTTAAAGGAAAGGTTCTATATTAAAATTTTTTTTGCACCACAAAGTATAAAATAAAATATTTTTGTTGTTGTCACTGAGCTCAGTAACATGTTAGAGTGCTCGTGGTCCTGGGCTGCATTCAGCCCAAGCCCTTGCATGAAGTATAGGGAAGATGATGGACTTACTCAATTCAGCAACTGGTCAGACCACACTTGGAGCACTCTTTATAAAACATCTATCTTTTAAAAATTGAAAGATGAACCATCAGTAGTATTAAGGAAAAATTTGAAAAGAAAAATATTTATGATATTTCACCACCACAACTACTCATTTAAGATTTTTTCACGTTATTTCCAGGTAACATTTTCACATGTGTTTGCATTTTACTGCAATCATAATATATAATTTTTTTTGCATTTTCTTCTCCTGCATGCCATGCGTAATCATCTTCATGATCATTTTTAGAGAATGAATAATTTTCCGTCATGTGGATGCACCATAATTTATTACACCAAATTGGCGGGTAGTTAGCCTGTTTGCATTTTTCTTTCCATTATAGTAAAATGTCATTTTGATCAATTGGGGTTCTAACTTTTCTATGTTGGATATATTATGATTGTCCAAAAATAGCTCCAGGCTGGTTTTAGAATTTTTTTTCAGAGCCAGAGGAATGAAAAAGGAATGATAGGACATTTCTACATTTCTTCTTCATTAGCTAATTTTTTTTTCTCAGTAATTTATACCAGGCTTAATGCAAAGGAACCTGAGGTCAATGATGAACATCCTAAAGTTTGTCTTAATATATAAAGAAGGCCAAACCACAGCATTGCCTTTGGTGAATGAGACAAATGCAAGTTTCTTTGGAGTAACTGAAGCAGTAATGCAGGAAATTAATGATCCAGTGATCAACTATTGTCATTTTTTAGACTGTTCTATATAAATCAGTAAGTAGCAAAAACTGAAAGTTATTGCACTCTGAGCAAATTCAGCTAGCTCACAGTGTTTCCAAAAGCCATATTCTCTCTTGACCATCTGGTGAACTTTAATTTCTTTTTTCAGAGTCAGCTTAGTGGTCACCATCTTTGCAAACCTTTCCTTCCCCTATCCCAGAACAGAACCCTGTAATATACTCTCTTCTTGCCCTTCTCCTAACATTTACAACTTTGAGCACTACTACTCTGTTTTTCAGAATAAATAATGAGTTCCTTGGGTCTGAGACTTTGTCTCGCTCATCATTTTAGCTCCACCATCTACCATAGTAGCAGGCATCTAGTAATGTTTTCTTTACAAAGCTTAATGACTGCTTGTTGAATACATTACAGAGTGAACAATAAGGATATATTTTCTCTGTTGTATTTTGTCCAGCAATTTAAATAGCAAGGAATGTGCTGGCTCTGAGTTTACAGCATGCAAGTCATGTGGCCTGGGCATGTACAATAGGAAAAACTTTGACCTCTAACAACACCCAAAGCAACCATTCCTCCCTTTGGAACTAAGAAGATCAGGGCATGACCAGAACCTGAATGTCAGAACTCCTTCAGAAGCAAGGGAGCCCTTGGCCTAGAAGTCGTGTATCCTGGGCATGCACAATAGGAAAAACTGACCTCTAACAATACCCAAAGCAACCATACACAGAGATATACCAGAGTCTCACACACACACACACACACACACACACACACACACACACACACACACGCTGCAATGGAGAGTTGGAGATTCTTTAATCAATACATCCCCCTCTATGGAAGAGGAAGGTGGGAGGGTATCTGGCAATGTGCCTAGGTGAGCTATCCTGCGGTGTCTGATACACATCCTTTCATAAAGATTCACACCAGCGCCTCAAAAAATTCAGTCATTCCTGGGTTACAGAGCACTCCTTTTAGAGTGTATTATTTTACACATTTGGGATTCTCTTCATTTTTTAAAGTGGCTGTTCACTTCCTGCAATCTCTATACCTTTGTTAAAGCTGAAGAACATGTTTATTCATCATACCCTTCACAGATCCAAACTGCTTGAAATAGTTTATCTTCAGAAAGTAAGAAGAGATGTAAGAGGAAAGAATCACCAGGCTCTGTGTATTATTAACAGGAAGGAAATCCCAGATATCCAGGGACATTCCTAGTCTTATTGCCAGCTTTTTTTTTTTTAAAGAAACTCCTTTATTCATTTTTCATTTAAATTTCTAAATCTTTCATCATGTCCAGACATCTTATACTAAGAAATATAGAAATATGCTTGTCCCAACTTTGCCTCTCCAGCTTTATTTCAGAACCAAATTCTTTTTTCTTGGGTCAGCAACTTTAGTCAACATCTCTTCTTTCCCAAATATGCATTTAAATTTCAACTCTGCTACTGTTCTGACAAACTCCCATTCCTTGTCACTGTCGTGTTTCAACTTCTCTGATCTTAAACAAAAACTGCTGATTGACCACTGTAATTGTAAAACCTTGGAAGGCCAAGCTACTAGCTGATATCAGAGATATCAAACTCTCTAATTAGACACCTCAGGTCTAGTTAGATGTTTCCCAGGGCATCTATTCTTAGGAGACTATTTAACTGATATAAAGCCAAGATTTAGGATCATTAAAGGTAGCCAATAATTTGGATGAGGCAACATCTCTAAGGCGCCAACTCATCCCACATGTATATACAAGTTACCAATGGTATAATAACAGAGATATATCAGAGCCATCAATGAAAGTCCAGTAGTACCCTGTATCTGTGAAATTCTGTCCTAAATGTGACTAGATTTTAATAAGCACTCTGGGTTTCAGGCAGCAATGAATACTTTCTAAAAGGCAACTATAGGTGGGCCTAATGTCAATTCCTGTTAAAATTACCTAATGATTAATTAAAAGGATGAATTTTTTTGGAGCACATAGGGAAGCTGCATGATTGTAACAACATATGTCAAATCAATCTAATTATCTCTTTTACAGGGCTGCTAAACTGTAGTTAAGAGGACTGTCCTATATATATAAGGATTTTATTAAGACTTTTAACTCTTTCCTGTGATATCCTTTGAAATAACTTGGAGAGAAATAGGATAGATAACAGTAAGTTTAATGACTCAAAATTATCAAACAATTTTATGGAAACATGCATTTTTAGTAGATCAACGTTGGTTTGAGGGAAGTTCTTTAATGTCAGGTTACAAGATTGAACACCTGTTCTAGTCAACATTTTTCTGAAATGTAACCCAGATATTGGCTGCCTCATTATTCTTCCATTCCATTATGCTTGCATGCCAATGCATTACCTCTTGGAATTTCACTAAAGAATCCATTCATGCAAATGGGATTACCTCAAACTAAAAATCTTCTGGATAGCAAAAGAAACAATCAACAGAATGAGAAACAACCTACAGAATGGGATAATATATTTGCAAACTGTATATGTGATGAAGGGTTAATATATTTCAAAAAAAGAATTCAAACAACTGAATAGTAAGGGAACAAATAACCTAATTAAAAATGAGCAAAGGACCTGAATAAACATTTCTTGAAAGAAAACAGAAATAGCTAACAGTTATATGGAAAAATGTTTAACATCACTAATCATCAGGGGAATGCAAATTAAAACTACAATGAGCTACCACCTCACACCTGTTAAAATAGCTATTATCCAAAAGAAAAAAGATAACAAATGTTGGCATGGATGTGGAGAAAAGGGAACTTTTATATACTGTTGGTGGGAATGTAAATTAACGTAGCTATTATGGAAAATAGTATGAAGTTCCTCAAAAAATTAAAAATAGAAGAACTGCCTTATGATCCAGCAATCCCACTTCTGGGTATACATTCAAAGGAAATGAAATCAATATGTCAAAGAAACATCTGCACTCCAAGGTTCATTGTAGCATTATTCATAACAGCCTAAGTGAATGGAAGCAGCCAAAGTATCCATCAACAGATGAATGGATAATGAAAATGTGGTAAATATACACAATGCAATACTATTCTGCCTTAAAAATGAAGGTGATACTGTCACGTGTGACAACGTGGTTGAACCTCGAGGACATTAAATTAGGTGAAATAAGCCAGGCACAGAGAGACAAATACTACATGATCTCACTTATATGTGGAGTATAAAAAAAGTTGAATTCATATAAACAGTGAATAAAGTGGTGGTTACCAGAAACTGGAGATTTGGGGGCTAGGGCGATATTGGTCAAAGGACACAGAATTTCAGTGAGACAAGAGGAATGAGTTCAAGAGATTGATTGATTGGCCATGGTGGCTACTGTTAATAACAATATATTATATGTTTGAAAATCACTAAAACGGTAGATCTCACCACAAAAAATGATATGTGAGCAATGTAGATTTTCTTGAAACTTTGCTAAGTCAAAGGAGAGATTTTATGTTATATCCTCCCAAGTTGACAAGTTAACCCTTCCATCAGATGCCTGTGTTTTATTGTCCTTTGGCTGCTGTGCCACCACTGAGATTTCTTTTCAATTTCTCTGATACTTTCCCCATCATTCTTGGCTCTTGTTTCTCCTCTTTCCTCAATTTCCCTCAGGAATTTCAAATTCCTTTTTTCTTTATAAATTAGAGCAATTAAACTTGAACCTAGTTTCTACTTTCAGTTCCTCCCTGCAAGTTTCTATACCCAACACCATCAGGGCACTAGTCAAAACAGGAAACTCTCTAGCCTAACAGGACAAATCCTCTTTGGAAAGCAGGCAGGAGTATAAATAGAAAGATTTAACATCTGTGACTTAGATGGCAAAAATGAGAACATACGTAGAACAGACTGGTGAGGGGCTCAAAACCATGATATTCTTGTTATCTGTTGCTGTGTAACAAACATCCTAAAAATGCAGTGGCTTAAAACAACAATTTATTATTTTCTCCATGGTTCTGAGAGTTGACTGTGCTCACCTGCACAGTTCTCTCTTGGGGATTTCTCATGCATTGGCACTTAAATTGTGGGTGGTCTTGGAGCCACCTGAAGACTTGACTGGGCTGGATAATATTCACTCATATGTCTGATACCTCAGTCCTCCCCCATACATTTCTTTTTCAGAAGAGTGGGCTGGGATTTTTATATGGGGTTCAGGGATCGAAGAAGAATGTGCCAAGAGCATATGTTCTAAGGCAGAAGTTGCAAGGCTTTTTATAACATATTCTTGGATGTCCCAGAACTTCATTTTCACTGTATTCTATTGGTCAAGACAAATCATTAAAGCCAGCCCAGATTCAAGGAATGGGAAATTAAACTCCACCTTTTGATGGAGGAACAGCATGCATTTGCAAGTAGGGAAGGAATTGATGGTGTCATCTTTGATTTTCATCCACTGTCTGCCTTCTTGCCACTACAATTTGTATCCCTCCTACATGCAAAATTATATCATTCCCTCCTAAGATCCCCAGTGTCCTTTTATTTCAGCATTGAGTCAAACTCCAGGATCTTGTCATCTAATCAGATACAACTGTAGTTCTTTTTGGTACCACACCTTGAATATGGTTTCTCTTAATGGGAAGACCTTGAGCCAAAGAGACCAGTTTATTTGCTCTCTGTATGCCCAAGATGCAATGGTGATACAGGCGACCATGGCTACAAGAAACATTCCTGTACAAAAGGGAAGGGACCGACACATGGTAGTCACATAAAACACATGTCACCTGTTGTTTTGAGTGGGTCCAATCTTGCTCCCTGAGAATGATTTACCATGGCTGTTGGCTCTGGATTCTGAGTCACTCTTCATCTTCCATAAGAAATAGCTCATGTTTGCAACTGAGTAATTTTCTCAGCCTGCTTCCTCACAGAAGTTTGGGGGTCCAGAGACTTGGTTAGTTCCCTTTGGAACTAAGAAGATCAGGGCATGACCAGAACAAATAACTATACTGAGTGGTTTCATTTAAAATTCATGACCACGGATCTCAAATGGGTGCTCAAAACTGTCTAAATGTTCAGTTACACTTGCCATTCCCCAAAATTACTGCTATCATACCTTTCCTTCTTCTCAAACTTCCTATTCCTGCCCCTCCTTTCCTGACTCTCAGCTAATGCTCTTGCTTCACACTTCACTGAGGAAGTCAGAGCAAAGATCAGAAACTCCCTCACTATCCCATCTCCAGCACCCACAGTGTCTGCCCTCCCTGCTGTGCTAAGAATTAACTCTCCCTCTCAAAGGCCAACTCCTTCACTTGTGTTCTGGATCTCATCTCCTCTTATTTTTCAAGACACCTCCTTTTGCATTCTCTCTCTTCTATGTCATCCCTTGTTCACTTTCCATGAACTAACTTCCATCAGCATAAAAACGCACTATTATCAAACTAACAAATAGGCAAAACCTGTCAGGATCCCTTCTTTCAGCTAATATACCAGCAGAGGTTGTATGATGTAGTGGTTATGAACATAAACTCTGATGGCAGACTCTTTGGGTTCCAATTTCTCTGCCACTAACCCCCACTGTGATCCTGGGCAAACCACCTTGTTCAGTAGCGGAGCCACTAGCCACATGTGGCCATTTAAAGTTTATATTAATTAAAATTAAATTAAAAATTCAGTTCTTCATTTGGACTAGTCACATTTCAAGTGGGGTTAGGGGCTACCGCATTGGATGACACAAATATAGAACTATTCCATTACTGCAGGAAGTCCCACTGGACATGGTGGTCTAGAGTAGGTGCATTGCCTTTCCCAGTTTTATTCTATCATGTTGCCACTTTAATATCATAGCACTTATTGCTCTCTGATATATTTTGTGTTTACTTGTTTGTTTATTTATTTATTTCTTTATACAGCATTTATTACCTGTATTTTCCTATTAGAATACAAGCTCCATGGAAGCATGTTCTGCTTCACCATTTGATTCCCAGTGCCTAGAACAGGGCCTGATGTTACCGAGTTCAACAAATATTTATTAAATGATGGCTGATCAGACATTTAAAAAGCTTTGGGCTAAGAAGAGAAATGTTTACCTAGACACAGTGTACTCATTTTCACGTGGCTCCCAGCTATTAACTGTGGTATATTGATAGTGAGGAATAAAGTGATTACTAATATTTTGAGGTTGATGAACTTCAGGAAAAAGGAAAAATCAATTGTACTGAGACTGGGAGACTGGGTCCTGCTCTTTATATGCTACATCAGCTGTGGAATATTATGAACCAGGCTGAGGCCTGACTGGAATATTTGGAAGTTTAAAAATTTGAGGACATATGTGAAACATTGTTTGGGAATTACAGACTTAATTTGTGGGTTTGCTTGTTTTGAAGTAGGCTGCCTCACATTCTTGAGGATGTTTATTGCAACATTACTTATAATAACAAACAACTGGAAACAACTTAAATTTTCATCAACTTAGGAACAGACAAATACATTATGATATAGTCGTACAATGAAGCATTATGGAACAGTAAAATGACTAACCCATGTCTCTATTTTATCAGTGTAAGTAGACCTCAAAAACCTAGTAATGAGTTGAAAAGAGCAATTAGTAGATGCAAAATATGCTGTAAACATTTATATAAAATTTAAAAACACAAAAAGTGGACTCTATGATCACATAGATGAGTAATTCAAGTTTTAAACATGTTGACTCTAAGGACACATCTGGATGGGTACGTCTGGGACAAAAGGGTAGGGAATGGGATCAGGGACAGGTACAACAGACTTCAACAGCATTCGCAAAGTTTTGTTTCCTTAGAAAACTTGGAATCTAACATGAGAATATATTAATATTTAAGTGATCAAGATGTTTGCTGTTATTCTCTAGAGTTTGCTGTATATTTGAAACATTTTAGAATTTTAAAAAAGGAAGTAAGCTGTATCTGCATCAAGTGATGACCTGTCACATTCATTCAACAGGAATTGAGAACCAACTGTGTGTGTGTTATTGTGCTGGTTGCTAAGGGTTCCAGAGAAGTCACGTAGGACATAGGCCTTGCCTTCCAGAAGCCTGCTGTCTTGGTTGAAATGATAATACACCCTTACACTGAACAGTTAAGCCATGGAAGGGAGCATATAATTATGTATCAAAACAAGGAGTAGAATTAAGTTCTAAACAAGCTTGGAAATTCAAGTTCCTGCAGTAAGTAGAGAGGACCTGGAGGAGAGGTAATTTGAAGAGTGAATTTGAATAGACAGAAGGAAAGAAAGTTAAGTACATTCCAGGCTGGGGAAGCACCATATGGGAAGTTTGAACGGGATTAGTAAAAATCATCCTGTAGAAGTTAAGAGGTTTTTGGGGGGTTTTTTTGAGAAAAAATTAAATAGATAGTATGAGACCCTGAGATGCTTAATACCGTGTCTGTGAATATAAACATCCAACAGCTAAGTGGGGAAGCATTCACAGCTATGAGGAACTGGAGTGACATGGTTGATTTGATTTCTTCGAATTTGATCTGATTGTGCTAGCAGAGTAGGCTGGAATAAAAGAAGATGAGAAGTAGGAAACTCAGCTAAGTGGCCGTTTCATCAGCCTAACAGTTAGAAAATGAGGGCTTGAAGTCAGGCGGTATTAATGAGAATGGAGGAAAAAAAATAAACTAACGTTTCCAAGCAGAGCAGGTATTATTGGCCACATTTTACAAAGGCACAGAGAAAGTAAGCAATTTTTCCAAAGATCTTTTAGATATTAAGTGCCAGAGGCTAGAATCAAATTCAGGTCTTCTTCTCTCCAAAGTTTGTGAGTTGAGATTTTGAAAAATGGATCAAAAGGACTTGAGGGACAATTGGATTTAGAACATGAAAGAGAAAGAAGGATAAAAGAACAATGAGGTTTTTGTTGCCATTAAAGTGCCTGATGGAAACTGGACACTTGCAAGGGTAAGCTGGTTTGGTGGAGAACAAAATGCATTCAGTGTGGAAGATGGAAAGATTGAGTTGACGGTGGGCCATCCCAGTGCAGATGGTTTGCACACTGTTGGAGCGCTGGTGGCTTAAGCTCTCAGATTTAAAGTGTTGAAAGCCATTACCACAGAGTGGTAATTTAATTCTGAAGACAGGAGTTACCAGAAGGAATACATAGTCATAAAGAGAACGGCAGAGTGTATGAGAAATGCCCACACTTATGACTTTTCACTTGGTAAAATGGAAGTGCCAACAGGAAAGCAAGAGAGGACAATTGGAGAGAGGAGAAACACAAGGTTTGCTTGTTTGTTTTGTTTTGTGCCACTGAAGCCTGTTCATTGAAGAAGGTTGTTTAAAGAAGTGGGTGGTTGAATATGTCAAGTACAAACCTACCTCATGTTCTTGTGGATTGATTTATTGTGCTTTATAGATGTTGCATTTTTTACAAATTGAAGGTTTGTGGCAGCCCTGCGTCGAGTAAGGAGGAAGTCTATTGGTGCCATTTTCCCAACAGCATGTTCTCACTTTGTGTCTCTATGTCACATTTTGGTAACTGTTGCAATATTTTAAAATTTTATATTAATATTATATCTCTTATGGTGATCCATTATCAGTAATTTTTTGATGTTACTATTGTAATTTATTTTGAGGAACCATAAACTGTGTCCATAAGGTGAACTTAATCAATAAATGTGTATGTTCTGACTGCTCCATTGACCAGCCATTCCTCCGAGTCTCTTCCTCTCTTCAAGCCTCCCTATTCCCTGAGACACAACAATGTTGAAATTAAGCCAAGTAATAACCTACAATGGCCTCTAAGCGTTCAAGTGAAAGGAAGAGTCACATATCTCTCACTTTAAATCAAAAGGTAGAAATGATTAAACTTAGTGAGGAAGTCATGTTAAAAGTCCAGACAGGTCAAAAGCTAGGCCTCTTGCACCAAACAGTTAGCCAAGTTGTGAGTGCAAAGGAAAAGTTTTTGAAGAAAATTAAAAGTGCTACTGTGGTGAATACATGAATGTTGAGAAAGAGAAACAGGCTTATTGCTGATATGGAGAAAGTTTTAGTCTCTAGTTTAGTATCCCATTTTAGTCTAGATACTAAAGCCAGCCACAACATTCCCTAAGCCAAAGCCTAATCTAGAGCAAGGCCCTAAGTCTCTTCAAGTCCATGAAAGCTGAGATGTGAGGAGAAAAATTGGAAGTTAGCAGAGATTGGTTCGTGAGGTTTAAGGAAAGAAGCCATGTCCATAACAAAAATGCAAGGTGAAGCAGCAAGTGCTGATATGGAAGTTTCGCCAAGTTAGCTAGAAGATCTAACCAAGATAACTGCTGAAGGTGGCTACACTAAACAACAGATTTTCATTGTAAATGCAAAAGCCTTCTAGTGGAAGAAGATGCCATTTAGGACTTACATAGCTAGAAAGGAGAAGTCAATGCCTGGATTCAAAGCTTCACAGGACAGGCTGACTCTCTTGTTTGGGGCTAATGAAGCTGGTGACTTTAAGTTGAAGCCAGTGCTCATTTACCATTCTGAGAATTCTAGGGACCTTAAGAATTGTACTAAATCTATTCTGCATATGCTTTATAAATGGAACAACAATCCCTGGTTGACAACATACTTGTTTTTAGCATGGTTTACTGAATATTTTAAGCCTGCTGTTAAGATCTACTGCTCAGAAAAATATTTCAAAATATACTGCTCATTGACAATGCACCTATCACCCAAGAGTTCCGATGGAGATGTACAAGAAGATTAATGTTATTTTCACGTCTGCTAGCACAATATCCGTTCTTCAGCCATGGATCAAGGAGTAAGTTCACCTTTCAAGTCTTATTGTTTAAGAAATACATTTTGTGGCCGGGCGCGGTGGCTCACGCCTGTAATCCCAGCACTTTGGGAGGCCGAGGTGGGCGGATCGCGAGGTCAGGAGATCGAGACCATCCCGGCTAAAACGGTGAAACCCCGTCTCTACTAAAAATACAAAAAATTAGCCGGGCGTAGTGGCGGGCGCCTGTAGTCCCAGCTACTTGGGAGGCTGAGGCAGGAGAATGGCGTGAACCCGGGAGGCGGAGCTTGCAGTGAGCCGAGATCCCGCCACTGCACTCCAGCCTGGGCGACAGAGCGAGACTCCGTCTCAAAAAAAAAAAAAAAAAAAAAAAAAAAAAAAAAAAGAAATACATTTTGTAAGGCTTTAGATGTCATAGGTAGTGGTTGTTCTGATGGATCTGGGCAAAGTAAACTGAAAAACTTCTGGGAAAGATTTGCCATTGTAGATGACATTAAGACCATTAATGATTCATGGGAGAAGGTTAAAATATCAACATGAACAGAAGTTTGGAAGAAGTTGGTTTCAACTCTTATGGATGACTCTCAGGGATTCAAGACTTCAGTGGAGGAAGTAACTGTAGATGTGGTGGAAATAGCAAGAGAATTAGAATTAGAAGTGGAGCCTGAAGATGGAGCTGACTTGCTGCAATCTCATGATCAAACTTGAAGGGTTAAAGAGTTGCTTTTTATAGATGAGCAAAGACAGTGGTGTCTTGAGATGGAATCTACTCCTGGTAAAGATACTATGAACATTGTTGAAATGACAACAAAAGATTCAGAATTATACATCCACTTAGCTGATAATGCTAATGAAAACACTAAGATGAAAAACATTTCCACAGAAAGTAGTCTATGTCATCAGTCTCTAAGAAAAAAACCAACAACATCACTTGTAAAACATATTTTAAAAACATTACTTAGCTTTTTCCCTTTTATTGCACATTATAAATAAATACAGAAAGTACACACAACATGCATGTGCAGTTTAATGAATAATTATAAGGCAACTGCCCAGGTAACCACTATTGAGGTTAGGAAATTGAACATTGCCAGCACCAAAGGAAGTCCTTCCCGATCACTTCCCCCATCGTCCTTTAGAGACAACAGATGTCTTACATTTTAAAACAATAATTTATTGCTTTTTAAAAAGTTAAGCTACCTAGCTAAGCATCCCTAAACAATATAGTCGAGTTTTGTCTGCTTTTGAATTATATCTCTAGCCGCTTTTAAGATTTTCTTTTTGTCTTTGGTTTTCAGCAGTTTTACTAAGATACATGTAGGGGTTGTTTGTCCTTCCTGAATCTTCTGCTGGTTTTGGAAAATTCTGTGCCATTATGTCTTCAAATATCGCTTCTACTTCATTCTCTCTTTCCCTTTGTTCTGAACTTTGATTATACTTATATTAGACCTTTGTTTCTTAGGCGATTTTCTGTATTTTCCACTCTTTTATTTCTCCATTTGACATTCAGGATTTTATTCCTGACCTATCATCTTCTGAGTTACTGTTTCTCTTCAGTTTTATCTAATTTGCTATTAAACCCACTCATTGAATTCTTAATTTCAGATATTGTTGTTTTTAGCCTTAGAATTTCCACTGATTCTTTTAGGATCATTTTCTTATTTACTGAAATCTCTCATTTTGTCTTCCGATTTCTTGAACATATTAATTGCAGTTATTTAAACATTCATATTTCATAGCTTTAATATCTGGCTTGTTTATGAGTGTATTTTATTTGCTGCTTTAACAAAATTCTATGTTTTTGTTAAAAAAAATTTTTTCTTTTCAAATTGCTGGTTAGTTTTGATTGTTTCTGGGAAGTATATGTAGAAAATCGTAGGGATTATTTCAGGCTTTGGCTGATTTTTGTCTTCTAGAGAGAATTTACTGTTCCATCTGTCAGTCAGTTAGGCTAGGGACTGATCAACTTAATCTGGTTAAATATTGAGCTGATTGAAAACTGGACTCTGGCCGGGCACTGTGGCTAACACCTGTAATCCCAACACTTTGGGAGGCTGAGGTGGGCGGATCACCTGAGGACAGGAGTGTGAACCACCCTGGCCAACATGGTGAAATTCGTTTCTACTAAAAATACAAAAATTAGCTGGGCGTGGTGGTGGGCGCCTGTAATCCCAGCTACTCAGGAGGCTGAGGCAGGAGAACTGCTTGAACTCGGGAGGTGGAGGTTGCAGTGAGCCAAGATTGCATCACTGCACTTCCAGCCTGGGCGAAAAAAAAAAAAAAAAAAAAAAAAAGAAAAGAAAACTGGACTCCAGTCCTCTTGAGGGGTCTATTTCCAGTTTATCCTTATTTCCGAGACAAGACTGTTTGGGATTCTCACCAAAAGCCAGAGCCTCTCCTCTGCAGGCTGTGAACTTCAGTATCCAGTCCTGTAAATTCTGCCTGGCTTCTCAGTCTCTTAGCTACCACTTACTGTTTACATTCTCAGCCTCTCAGCTCTCATATTCAAGTTGGCATATGCCTTGAGGACAAAACCAGTTTCAAACTTTGGGCTTACTTCTCTGGGCTATCTTCCTCTCCTGAACCTTGGCCAAGTCGTTGCTGCTTTTGTAGTGATCCAAAAACCTTTTTCTTTATTTTGATTGTCAAATGGTCCATTATTAAGGTATTTTTATATTTCAATACTCTTTAACTAGTTGGGCATTCCACTGTCCCACTGTTGATGTTATCTATGATGTCCTGAGAGTGGTGGCCATCACCATTGCAGCCCACAGACTGGGCAGTCCCCAGGATCTCGTTAACATTTCTGGAGAGTTCTCAGGCTAAAGATCGATGCCATATCTATCTGTCAGTGTTGACAGTCTCATCAAAAGTGGTATTTCCACTGTGTTTAATGTTCGTCTGTTTCTTTCAGTCTCTTGGCAGTTCCTTGAGGCCTTTGATGGTCAGTACAGAGGCAGAAGTTACCACCTCAATCTGGGCTGGTCTGTTCTGAATGGTCAGTTTCATTGTAATCCTCAGACCCTTCCAGTCACTAGTTGCCTTGGTGATGTCATCACCAACCTTTTTTGGAGACAGACATGACAGACAATGAGGTCTTGCTCTGTTGCCCAGGCTGGAGTGCAGTGGCACAATCATAGCTCACTGCAGCCTTGAACTTCTGGGCTCAAGCAATCCTCCCACCTCAGTCTCCTGAGTAGCCGAGACTATAGTCATGCACTACTATGCCTCACTAAATTTTTTATTTTTTGTAGAGACGGGGTCTTGTTATCTTACCCAGGCTAGTCTCAAACTCCTGGCCTCAAGCCATCCTCATGCCTCAGCCTCCGAAAATGTGGGATTACAGGTGTGAGTCATTGCAGCTGGCCCTTCAATTTTATTTTTCTATGTGAATTTTTTGTATGGATATTCAATATTTCCAGCAGTAGTTATTGAAAAGTATACCACTACCTTCTGAATAGGCAGTGTCACTTCTGTCATCTATCACTGTGCCTTATGTCCCATTTGTCTGTTCCTAGACTAATATTGCACTATGTACATTACTATGGATTTAAAAATAAGTCTTGAGATCCAGTATATCTCAAATTCACCTACCTTCTCTTTTCCAAAATGTTTTGGCTATTTTTGGCTCTTTGTACCTCCATGTAAATTTTAGAATTAGCTTGCCAAGTTTCACTGAAAAGATCAGATCAAAGCAAATCAAAACCAAAACAGACTTGTTTCTTATTGGTATTGTACTAAATTGCCATTTCACAATATTGAGTTTTTTAAAGCATTGATATTATATATTTCGACACTATGCAGATCTCCTTTACTGTCTTTCAATAAGGTTTTATATTTTTTCCATAGAAGTATTTCATATCTTTTGTTAGCTTTAATTCTAGATATTACATATATTTATGACTGTAACTGAATTTAGTACATTGATTTGATATCCTTTGCAATGCTTATACAACCTTCTCCCCAGTACAATGCTAAATAAAAGCACTCTTGTTTTATTCCTGCTCTCAAGGGGACATTTATTTATTTATGTAGAGATGGGACCTTGCTATGTTGCCCAGGCTGAACTCAAACTCCTGGGCTCAAGTGAACCTCCTCCCTCAGCCTCCTGAGTAGCTGGGAATACTGCTTAGGGGGAAATTTTTAAGATTGAGGAAGTTCCCTTCTAGTCTTAGGTTGCTAAGGTTTTTTGTTTTTTGTTTGTTTTAATCATGAATGTATGTTGAATTTTCTATCACACTATTTTTCTTGTTTCTATTGTTTTTTCCCTCTAATCTGTTAATGTAGTGAATTACAGTAATTGACTGTCTAAAGTTAAACCAATCTTGAATTCCTAAAGTAGATCAATCTGACATTGAAGTAAATTTGCTAATTATTTGTTCAGGATTTTTGCATATATGTTCATAAGTAAAGTTGGCTTGTAATTTTCCTATTTTATAACATCTTCATTAGAGTTTGCTATTAAGGTTATGTAAGCTTCATAAAATGAATTGGGGAGTATCCTTATTTTTCTATTTTCTGGAATAGTATGTGTAAAATTATTTCTTTTTTGAATGTTGGCAGATACCCTGTTGCAGCCATCTAAGCTTATAAATTGTTTTTTTTGGAAAGATCTTTGAGTGCTGATTCAATTTCTTATGGTATATGACTATTCAGGCTTTCAATTTCTTCTTGAGTTAGCTGTATGTTCTATTTCTCTAGAAACTCATTTCATCTAAATTTTCTAATATATTAGTAAAAAGTTATTCATAATAGATTTTAATCTTTTCGTATTTGAAGAATCTACATTTACTTTCTCTTTTCATTCTTAATGTTTGTTATATGCATGATCTCTCTTTTTTCCCCTAGATTAATCTCATTAGAGGTTTATCAATTTAATTATACTTTTGCTTTGTTAACCATTTTCTCTATTGCATGTTTGCTTTCTATTTTACTAATTTCTACTCTGAACTTTATTTCCTTGCTTCCATTTCCTTTGGGTTTATTTTGCTGTTCTTTTTTAAATTTGTTAAAATGGATACATATTTCATTAGTTTTTATCTTTATTTGTAATATTGAATATTTAATGCTATAAACTTTTTTCTGAGCACTATCTTAACTGTATTCTATGGTTTTTACATACAGTGTTTTCAAATGCTATAGTAGTATCAACATTTTTTCTAAACTATTGCATCAGTTTATGTGCTGGCCAGGAGTACATGGAAGTTCTGGTGGCTCTAGTTAATACTTGATATCACCACTCTTTAACTAGCCATTCTTTTGTAGGCATTTAGTAATATTTCATCATTGGCTTATTTTGCATGTCTATAATAGCTAAGTTTCATAAGTTAATTGGGTATTTGGATATCCTTTTTTATGCTTTTTCAAGTTCATTGCCTAATTTTTAATGTAGCTTTTGGCCATTTTTTATTGAGTTGTAGGAGCTTTTTGTATTTTGGATATGAGTCTCTTGTCAAGTCCAGTCTATAGTATGCTTTTCACCCTCATGATAGAGACAATTGATAACTTTTTTTTATCCCTAGCTCTCCTCTCATCCTCCCCCTTCTGAGTCTCTAAAGTCCATTATATCACTCTAAATGCCTTTGTGTACTCATAGCTCAGCTCCCACTTATAAGTGAGAACATATGATTTTTGGTTTTCCACTTTTGTGTTATTTCACTTAGAATAATGGCCTTCAGCTCCATCCAAGTTGCTGCAAAAGACATTATTTCATTCCTTTTTATGGCTGAGTAATATTCCATGGTGTGTATATACCACACTTTCTTTATCTGCTCATTAGTTGATGGGCACTTAAGTTGGTTCCACATCTTTGCAATTGTGAATTGTGCTGCTATGAACATATGTGTGCATGTGTCTTTTTCATATAATGACTCCCTTCCCTTTGGGTAAATACCCAGTAGTGGGATTGCTGAATCAAATGGTAGATCTACTTTTAGTTCTTTAACAAATCTCCATACTGTTTTCCGTAGAGGTTATACTCATTTACATTTCCGCCAGCAACGTATAAGCCTTCCCTTTTCTCCCCATCCATACCAACATCTATTGTTTTTTGACTTTTTAATTATGGCCATTCTTGCAGGAGTAAGGAGGGTATCTCATTGTGGTTTTAATTTGTATTTCCTTGATGCTCAGTGATTTTGAGCATTTTTCATATGTTTGTTGGCCATTTATATATCTTCTTTTGAGAAATATCTATTCGTGTCCTTTGCCCACTTTTTGATGGGATTTTTTTTTTTCTTGCTGATTTGTTTGAGTTATTTGTAGGTTCTGGATACTAGTCCTTCATCAGATGCATAGTTTGCAAATATTTTCTCCCATTCTTTGGGCTGTTTACTGTGATGATTATTTCTTTTGCTGTGCAGAAGCTTTTTAGTTTAATTAGGCTCCATTATTTATTTTTGGTTTTGTTGCCTTTGCTTTTGGGGTCTTAGTCGTGAATTTTTAGTCAGACCGATGTCTAGAAGAGTTTTTCCAATATTGTCTTCTAGAATTTTTATGGTTTCACGTCTTAGATTTAAGTCTTTGATCCATCTCCTGTTGATTTTTTTTTTACAAGATGAGAGATAGAGATCCATTTTCATTTTTCTACATGTGGTTTGCCAGTCCCACACCATTTATTAAATAGGGTGTTAATTCCCCAATTTATGTTTTTGTATGCTTTGTTGAAGATCAGTTTGTTGCAAATATTTGGCTTTATTTCTGGGTTCTCTATTCTGTTCCATTGGTCTACTTTTATACCAGTACCATGCTATTTTGATAACTATAGTTCTGTAGTATAATTTGAAGTCTGGTAATGTGATACTTCCAGATTTGTTCTTTTTGCTTAGGATTGCTTGGCTATTTGGGCTCTTTTTTGTTCCATGTGAATTTTAGGATTATTTTTTCTAATTCTGTGAAAAATAATGTTTATGTTTGATGGGTATTGCATTGAATCTGTAGATTGCTTTGGGCAGTATGGTCATTTTCATAATATTTACTCTTCCAATCCACAAACATGGGATGCATTTCCACTTGTTTGTGTCATCTATGATTTCTTTTGGCAGCGTTTTGCAGTTTTTCTTGTAGCAACCTTTCACCTCCTTAGTTAAGTATATTCGTAGGTTTTTGTTTGTTTGTTTGTTTGTTTGTTTCACTTGTAAAAGGGATTGAGTTCTTGATGTAATTCTCATCTTGGTCACTGTTGGTGTATAGCAGTGCCACTGATTTAAGTACATTGATTTTGTAACCTGAGACTTTACTGAATTTGTTTATCACATCTAGGCCTCTTTTTGTGGCGTCTTTAGGATTTTCTAGGTATGCGATCATATTGTCTGCAAACAGTGATAGTTTGACTTCCTCTTTTCCAATTGGGATGCCCTTTATTTCTTTCTTTTGCTTCACTGCTCTGGCTCGGACTTGCAGAACGATGTTGAATAGGAGTGGTGACAGTGGGGGTACTTGTCTTGTTTCTGTTCTCAGGGGGAATGCTTTCAACTTTTCCCCATTTAATTGATGTTGGCTCTGGGTTTGTCATATATGACTTTTATTATTTTGAGGTAAGTCCCTTTTATGCTTAGTTTTTTGAGAGTTTTTGCTTTTTCTGCATCTACTGAGATGATCGTATGGTTTTTGTTTTTAATTCTGTTATGTGATGTATGTTAAACCATCCTGGCATCTCTGGGATGAAACCCATTTAGATGATGTATTATCTTTTTGACGTGCTGTTGGATTCAGTAGCTAGTATGAATCAACACTGATGTTTGTCAAGTGCTTTTTCTGTATCTTTTGAGATAATCATTTGTTTTTCCTCCTTTATTGTATAAATGTGGTGAATTCCACATAGAATATATCTGGGTGTTTTTTTTTTTTTAGCTTATCCTTATGTCGACAAAAACTATATTTTATATGATTTCTGTATTGCAAAATCTGTTGAATTTCCTTAGTGACATGGCACAGGGTTTACTTTTGTAAATATTCTGAGGAAATTTGATGAGAATATGCATTCTGCATCTGTTCAGTGCTGTGTTTTATCTATGTCAATTATGTCAAGTTTGTTTATCATATTGTTCAATTTGTGTGTTTATTTATTTATTTAGAGATGGAGTCTCGCGCTGTCACCCAGGCTGAAGTGCAGTGGCGCGATCTTGGCTCACTGCAACCTCCACCTCCAGGGTTCAAGCAGTTCTCTGCCTCAGCCTCCCGAGTACCTGGGATTACAGGCGCCCACCACCGTGCCCGATTAATTTTTATATTTTTAGTAGAGACAGGGTTTCACCATCTTAGCCAGGCTGGTCTTGAACTCCTGATCTTGTGATCCACCCATCTCTGCCTCCCAAACTGCTGGTATTACAGGCATGAGCCACCGTGCCTGGCCCAAATTATTTATATTTGTATTCATTGTTTTTGTGTATTTATTGAGAGATGTGCAGAATTGAGAGGTATGTGTTAAAATCTTCCACTTAGATGACAGGTTTTTGTGTTCCCTTTTTCTTCCATTAGTTTTAGCTTTATACCTTTTTGGAACATGTGATATAGTACATACAACTTTAAATAGTTTCATATTTCCTGTTATACTTACCAGGGCTTTTTAAAAGCAGTTTTATTGAGATATAATTCATATAACATGAAATTCATCTTTTTAAATTGTACGAGTCAATGGCTTTAGTATGTACAGAGTTGCACAGCCATTAACAAAATCTAATTTTAAACATTTTTATCATCCCAAGAAGAAACTTCATATCCATTAATAATCACTTCCTATTCTTTCCCCACACCTCCTTTACTACTACCTTTGGAAACCACTAATCTACTTTCTGGCTTTATAAATTTGACTGTTCTGGACATTTATATAAATGGAATAATACAATATGTGGTCTTTTGTGACCAGTTTCTTTTACTTAGCATAGACTCATATGTTGAATATATACATAGATATGAATTCAAAAAGTGCCTTATCTCAGACTACTTGGAAGGAAGTGAACATAATTTTATTGGAAAGCTTAGATGTCTCAAAAAATAGGAGTAACTGTGTTGTAGATGCTGATATTTTAAAAATTGGAATAAAATTGAAATGTGAAAATGGAAATTTCATGTATTTTAAATCTGTATGTTTAATTAAAGTGTTATAAATAAACATAGGATAGTGTTATCTAGTTAAATATTTCAGTTGAGCAAACATCTTTGGGATTCTCATTATTTGAAAAATGGAAGATCACCTTACATTGGAGCATATCAGCATATCTAACATGCCTATTAACTAATTCTTTTCAATAATACAGGGTAAAAAATATTATCATAGGAGTGCACCCCATGTATGTGAAGGGAACATTCACATACTCTAAAAACTCTAGGCTAAGAGCCACTGTTTTGGTAGCTCCTCACATAGGATCGAACATTTATCATTGGTGAACACAGAGCTAAATGTTTTTCATGGGTTTTTCTGGTTCAATCATCATAGTGCCTCAATTAAGTAGATAGTTAATTTTGTATCACCTCCATTTTACATGCCAAGAAACAAACATTTAAAGAGGTTAAATAACTTGCAAAAGATTTTACAATCATTTAATCATTAGGAAAATGTAAATCAAAACTTCACTGAGATAACATCTTAAATTTAAAAAGATGGCTACTATCAAAAAAACAAAATAACAAGTGTTGGAGAGGATATGGAGAAATTGGAACCCTTGTGCACTGTGGGTGGAGATGTAAAATGACATAGCCTCTGTGGAAAACAAGTATAGCAACTCCTCAAGAATTGAAAATAGAATTAGCATATGATCCAGCCATTCCATTTCTGGGTATATGCCCCCCAAACTTTGAAAACAGGGTCTCAAAGTGATATTTGCACTCCCATGTATATAGTAGCATTATTCACAATAGCTAAAATGTATAAGCAACCTAAATATTCATTGACAGATGAATGGATAAGCAAATGTAGCATATCCATACAGTGGAATATTACTCAGCATTAAAAAGGAAGAAAATCCTGATATACGGTGTAACATGGATGAGCCTTGAGGATATTAGTCTTAGTAAAATAAGCCAGTCATAAAAACAAAGAAGTACTGTATAATTCCACTTATATAAGGTACCTAGATTAGTGAAAATCATAGAAACAGACAGTAGAGTGATGGTTGCCTGAAGCTGGGATATGAACAAAATGGGAATTATTTGTTTAATGGATGTAGACTTTCAGTTTTAAAAGATGAAAAGAGCTATGGAGATGAATGGTGGTGAGGGTTGCACGTTATGAACGTATTTAATACCATGGAACTATAAATACACTTAAAAGTAGTTAAGATGGTAAATTTTGTGTTACGTGTATTTTAACACAATAAAAAATCATATTAAAAAAAGACTGCCCAGTCAATAGGCAGTTCCAGGATTTGAACTATGATCCTATGCTGTTCCTTGCTTCTTTGTCTTTGCTCAAGCTGCTGCTTCTGCCCAGATGTCATTCCCTGCCTAAGCTTATCTGGCTAACTCCTTTCTTCCTTTAGGACACTGGTAAAACATTCCCTGCTTAACCTCCTTCCTCACACTGGTTAAATGTCTTGGGTACTTCCATAGTTGTGCTCACAACATTATATTTGTAATCTTTATATGAAAAAACCAAACTTATGAAATATCAGAAAATAACTTCATTTATTTTTCCCTCAATGTGCCTGCTCCAGTTCATTCTGTAGGGCTGTTCTTCCCTGCCCTTAGATTAAATCACAGGTAACTCTTTTTCTCTTCTATTTATTTTCAGGCAATGAAAATTCTTCTTGTCTCTTTAGTCTTTCAAATAGTTCACTAATGAAAATGCCCATAGAATTAACAGTAACAATTCTAATGTCTTTAAAAAATTATTTAATAGCTTTATTCTTCCATAGCTTTCTTGAGGTATATAGCATAAAATTCAGCCTCTGTAAGTGTGCAATTTTATGATGTTTAGTAAATTTATAAAGTTGTGCAACCATCAACATAATCCAGTTTTAGAACATCTCCATCACCCCAAAAAGTGCCCTCATGCCCATTTGCAGTCAATCTCCAACCTCCAGCTCCAGACACTCATCCACTTTTTGTTTCTATTTTTGCCTTTTCTAGAACTATTACATAAATGGAACCATATAAATTACATATATTGTGTTTTGTATCTGGCTTCTTTTACTTAGCACAATGATTTTGGGGTACAACAATTGCTATGGTGTGATGTTTGTGTCCCTCTAAGATTTATGTATTGAAACTCAACTTCCAAGGTGATGATATTAAGAGATGGGGCCCTTTGGGGAGTGATTAATGCCCTTATAAAAGAGGCTTTAAAGAGCTGTCTGTCTCTTCCATCTCTTCCACCATGTGAGGACATACCACTCATCCCTCCAGAGGATGCAGCAACAAGATACTGTCTTGAAGCAGACAGCAAACCCTCATCAGACACCAAACCTGCTGGCACCCTGATCTTGAACTTCCCAGCCTCCAGAATTGGGAGAAATAAATTTCTATTATTTATAAATAACCCAGGCTGTGGCATTTTGTTATAGCAGCAGGAACGGACTAAGATATCCATGTCTTTTATATCAGTACTTTGCTCCTTTCTGTTGCTGAATAGTATTCCATTGTATACTACATTGTTTTTATCCAGTCACCAGTTCATGCATATTTGGATTATTTCCAGTTTGGGGCATTCTGAATAATACTACTCTGCCTGCTTGTGTCAAAGTCTTTGTGTGATATGATAAGTTCAACTCTAAAAAACTGCCAAACTGTTTTCCAAAGCTGCCGTACCATTTACACTCCCTCCAGCAATGGAGGAATGTTCTTCACATCCTTACCAACAACCGTTATTGTCTTCTTTATAGCCATTCTAGTGAATATGTAATGGTACCTCATTGTGATTTTATTAGCATTTTAAGTGGTAAATGATGTTGAGCATCTTTTCCCATATGCAGTAGCTATTCATATACCTTTCCTAGTGATGCATCGTTTCAAATAATTTGCCCATTTGTTAATTGTGTTGTTTTCCTTTTGAATTGTGAGTATATATATATATATATATATATATATATATATATATATACACATACACACACACACACACATAGGTTAAATGTCTTTTATCAGGTGTAGGATTTTCAAATATTATTTCTCAAACTTTTTATGGTCTTAATGGTGTCTTTTGTAATTTTGATGAAGTCCAATTCATTATTTCTTTCCTTTACAGATCGTGTTTTTGGTGTCATATCTAAGAAATTGAGGAACCATCAGAGGGGTAAGAAGAAAACCAGAAAACGTGTCATGGAACCCCAGAGAAGTTAAAGTATTAGGAAGAAGGGGAATAAGCACTGGTGTCAAAACCTGCAAAATGTCCAAAAAGGACGAATGAGGCAAAAAGGTCACTAAATTTGGGGAATAATAACAATAATAATAATAATGACTAGTTGTTGATATTTATTGAAAGCTTATTTTATGCCAGGCCCTATACTAAGTATGATCTCACTTCTAGTTTCAGTAACTAGGTAGAGGAAATTCAGTATTATTAATATTATCAGCATTTCCCCCTATGCCTCTAAACATATTGGTCTCAGAGTGTGTAACATAAGATTTGGAGATGAGAAATTCTCTTTAGGCTTGGGTTCTACAATGTTTTGGTTTGGGGCAGACCACTTAACTTTCCTGAACCAGTTATCACTTACCTTTCCTGAACCTGTTAATATTTGTAAGAATAATCATTACCAGTTTGTAGATGGGGCTGTTGCAAGAGTTGATATATGCAAAGCACCCAGCATTGCCTGGTCTATAGCGCACACTCAAAAACAGAAGTTGTAATTACTAGTTGCCATTTTCAGATAGAAATTTTAAAATGTTTTAAAACCTATTACACTCTATAGAATATATTATTTTAATTTTAAAAATTCTAAATATTTTGCTAATAAAAAAGTAACTTTCCTCCTTTCCCATCATCCAAAGAATATAACTAATGCTTCCTTTTTAATGGCTTTATTAAGATATGATTCACATACCATACAATTCTCCCATTTAAAATGTACCATTCAGTGGTGTTTAATATAGTCACAGAATTGTGCAACCATCACCACAGTTTGTGTTAGAACATTTTCATCACCCCAAAAGGAATTCTGTACCCATTAGCAGACTCTCTGTGACCCCCAAATCCCCTATCCCAAGGCAGTAACTAATCTACTTTCTGTCTCTATAGATTTGCCTATTCTGGATATTTCATATAAATGGAATCATACGATATGTAATCTTTTGTGGTTGGCTTCTGTTAAAGAAAACCAGAGCCAGACAATAGGTTCAAGCTGCGAACAGCGATTTTATCCAGGAACTATGACAACGGGGAAAAAGAGACCTCAGTGTAGAATGGTGCTTAATTCCGAATATAAGACAAGTGGAGCCGGTTGAAGGTGAAGGGGTGGAGGAAAATTACTAGAGGAGACATCAAGGGTAGGGGGAATTCTTGCTAAACCTACCTAATGGGATTCTTGCAGAAGGCAGGCTAAGGTGATGATCAGACGTCATGTGTGGGATGATGGAAGATGAGGAATTTGGTCAGATATTGAGGATAATCAGGTTTTGAGGGTGAGAGATTTTGCTAAATTGACTTAACAGGATTCTTGCTAAATCTGGGCTATGCAGTCCTGAGCACAAGGTCCAAGGGTGAGGCCTAGTTGAGAAAAGAGCTTAGAGGAAGCTGACTAAAGTTGGTTCAGGAGAGGCTCTTTGTTACTTCTTTCACTTAGCATACTATTTCAAGTTCCATCTGTGGTGTAGCATGTATCACCACTTCATTCCTTTTTATTGCTGAATAATATCTCATTGTATGGATAGAACAGGTTTTGTTTATCTATTATTTGTCTATTGAATGGGCATTTGGGTTGTCTCTGTTTTTTGGCTACTGTGAATGGCTGCTATTTTTTGGCTGCTATTAACATTTATGTACAAGTTTTTGTATGGACATGTCTTCATTTCTCTTGGGTATATATCTAAGTGTGGAATTGCTGGGTCATATGGCAATTTGATGTTTAACCTTTTCAGGAACTGCCACACTGTTTTCCAAAGAGGCTGTACCATTTTGCAATTCCACCAGCAGTGTATGAGGATTCCGATTTCACCACATTCTCCCCAACACATATTATTATTTTTATTTTTGAATATAGCTGTCCCGAGTGTGAAGTGGTACCTTACAGTGGTTTTGATTTGCATTTCCTGATCGTTAATAATGTTGAGCATTAATCAATACTGCTTTAATCCCAATGAAGTGTAGATAAGACCTGGGAGATTTATTTAAAGGATAGAAAACAATCAGTAAATGACCCATCAGCATGTTGCTGTTGGAGCCTGTTACTTGTGCCTTAAGGGTCTTTCTGGGATGGGGACACACAGTGGATTTACTCATTTCCTTCAGCCTCTATAGTCTCATCAATTTAGGTTCTAGGTCATTGTTTTGGATCTAATACACACACTAGTCACCCGTCATTACATCCCTCACATGCTGCCCAAAGTTATGAAAATAAAAAAGACAAGTAGAGAGTTTGGTATCCTAGTAAGAGACTCCATAGAAATCCATGACTTGATTTGAGAAAATAAGTGCAATGCTGTGTTATTGCAGGAATCTTGAATCATAGATCAAAAGCCCTTCTTCATGGTCACTGGTAAATAAAGAAAATTCTTCTTCTATTTGTGTAGACAGGGCCAGCAAGCTTTGTTTGTAAAAATCTGGATAGTATATATTTTTAGTTTTGTGAGTCATAGATTTCTGTTTCAATTACTCAGCCCTGCAGTTGTGGTGCAAAAGCAGCCACAGACCATAAATAAACAAACAGGTATGATTGTATTCCAATAAAACTTTATTTACAAAAAAACAGGTGTTGGGCTGGATTTGACCCACAGGTTCTAGTTTGCTGATCCCTGGTGTAGATAAAAGGAGAGATTCTTGAGATTTCTTTCTATAGAAACCTGAAAATGGACAAGGGAGGATGCTTTTTATTTTTCCTACACAGATGTTTTACAATTGTACTTGGCTTCTCACTATCCTTGGGTGGGTCAATTGATTAATTTTGCAGAGATTATTTGTCTCTTTCTTTAAAAATTTTTGTGTTATTGCTAGGACAGCATCTTAGAGTCATTTAAAACTAAATCAGATAGAATTTCCAAGCCACCTTTAGGAACAACTTATTCTCATTATTAACGACTTCAAAAAAATCTGAGAACAACAGGAATATTTATTTAATTCGCCTATTAATTTCATCAGTTATTTTCACTCAGTTTAAACTCTTTCATGTACTTCTCCTATTTCTATTACAGTGAAAGTGCCCATAAAATTATACTAGTTATTGATATAACTAGTAACAGGACAGACAGCTAGGAAAACTGTTTAATATCTCATTTCAAAGTCTAGACCACTAGCTGTTGTCTTTAAAAACACTCTTTAAGAAGCTCAACTGAATCAAAATTTAGACTGAAGCAGAAGTGTGAAGGGAACAACCTTTTGGTTTGAGAGGCTAGGCCGGGGCATGGGCCGAGGAAATGCAAATCGGCATCTATGACCTGCCCTAGGACCCCGGGCTCTGTCATCTGCAGCTTAAAGAGTCCTAGCCAATACAGGGGACTTCCTCTTGGAGTTGAGATTTGGAGGATGATGGCTGGGTACTAGCTGGACAGGGAGGGACCAGGGCCCAGGCAGAAGGAAGGGCTTGTGCAAGGACATGGACTTAAGTGAGAAAATTGTGTGTTTTGGGAACGGCAAGGACTTTATTGTTCCCAGAAACCAAAGTAAAAAGGGATAAAGGGGCCGGGAGCGGTGGTTCACGCCAGCACGTTGGGAGGCAGAGGCGGATGAATCACCTGAGGTCAGGAGTTTGAAAGCAGCCTGCCCAACATGGTGAAACCCCGTCTCTACTAAAAATACAAAAATTAGCTGGGGGTGGTGGCGTGTGCCTGTAATCCCAGCTACTCGGGAGGCTGAGGCAGGAGAATCTCTTGAACCCGGGAGGTAGAGGTTGCGGTGAGCCGAGATCGCACCCTTGCACTCCAGCCTGGGTGACAGAGCGAGACTCCGTTTCAAAAGAAAGGGATACAGGTAGGAGGAAGAGGCTCTACACACAGACCAAATCACAAAGGGCCTTAAAAGCCCTGCAAGGTGTCTAGATTGTGTTCTATATGCAATGGGGAGGTCAGTAAAGAATTTTGAGCAAAGGAGCGATATGAGCAGATTTGTGGGCTTGGAGGGTTGTACTAATGGAGGCAAGAACACAAGTTATGGGTCGGTTACCGTTGTCTGGGTGAGAGATGACGAAAGCCTGAGCTAGCACACTGACAGTGGGCATGGAGAGAAGGGAAAGTCCAGAATATGAAAGCTATGAAGGAGGAGGCATGAACAGTGATAAGGGCTGCCTGTGGTGGAGAACAGAGAACAGGGAGGATTCTGGGAGGACTCTCGGCTTCCTGGTTGGAATAGCGGTATTGATGAAGATGCTGATTCTCAAGACAGGACATAAGTTATGTGGATGATGTGGGGAAGAAAGATGCTGAGTTTAATTATGGATACGTTGAGACAGAAGTGTATGCGGGCTGGTGCGGGGCGGGTGCAGTGGCTCACGCCTGTAATCCCAGCACTTTGGGAGGCCGAGGCGGGCAGATAGCCTGAGGTCAGGAGTTTGAGACCAGCCTGGCCACGTGGTGAAACCCCGTCTCTACTAAAAATACAAAAATTAGCGGGCGTGTTAGTGGGCGCCTGTAATCCCAGCTAGTCGGGAGGCTGAGGCAGGAGAATTACTTGAACCTGGGAAGCGGAGGTTGCAGTGAGCTGAGATCGTGCCATTGCACTCCAGCCTGCGTGACAGAGAGAGACTCTGTCTCAGAAAAAAAAAAAAAAAAAAAATTCTGTATGGGGACTATCCAGTTGGATTATGTAGGAGACAGTTGGATAATCAGAGATAAGTGACGGTTTTTGAAGAGAATGCTCAGAAAGTGTTTGCATGGTGAGAGGAGAAGAGGTACTGACTCTTGGAGACGCGGCTACTCTAATTGTGGTCAGGAGCAGCCAGAGAGGGAAGAGAAATAACCAGGGAGAATGTAAGTAACCAAAGTCAAGGGATGAAATAATTCTGAGGAGGATGAAGGGGTTAAGGGCATCTGATATGCTACAGATAGCAAGCTCTGTAAGGGCAAAAAAGAGTGCATTGAATTTGGGCACTAATGGATAAATGGTGATTAAAACAGTTTCAGCTGCTTACATGAGGTAACGCCCCGATTGCAGTGCTTGAAAGAGGAGGTGGGTGATGAAGACCTCCCGGCAGCCGGTTGAGAACGCTGTATTTATGTTTCACTGTGAAGGACAAGAGAAAAGATAGCCTAGAAGTCGCAAACACACAGGCCTAGGAATGGCAGCTGCTTTCCACTTATGGAAGAGGTGAAGCATGTTCATATGCTATGCGGGAAAGAGTCACTGACTCTTGAAAAGAATATGATAAAAGAGGAAGAAAGGATGAAGGAAAGGGTAAAGATGAAGGAAAGGGAAGGAATATTGACGGAACAAAGACCAAAAAAATAAAAGGGAAGATAGGATCCCAGGACAGGTAAATGGGTGAGGTAATTGCCTTGGTACCTGTTCGTCACATTGTATATTTATCTGGTGCATATGATGGGCATGCTAAATAAGTAGAAAATGCAGTACTAATGACCATTGTTAAGCTCACGGTAGCCAGAGAAACATGAAACAAGTATTAAACAGTGCTAAGCAACAATAATGCTTGACAAAGTATAAGAGTTTTGACAAGAATGGCAAGATTATGGCACCCTAACCCTTGCCGGTCTCTTCTTGACCCACGACAAACAATAGCTAATCACTGTCTTTTCTGTGCTCTGTCTTGGACGCAGAATTCATCACAGGGCTTTAGGCAGCCTCTAACAGTTTATGAGAGTTGGAGCTTGAAGTTGAAAGCTATTTGCTATCCTTGGATTATGTTAAAAATGGTTAAGTACCATAAGAATTTTATAGAAAGTTATATTGTTTCCCAGAGTAGATTGTTTGTCTTTCAAGGAAACAGATATGTTCTGTTTCTTTAGTAGTGCCCACACCATTACAATCAAAGGCTCAGTTGGGGCTTATTGAATTCATTTCATTACTTTACTTTTTGAGACAGGATCTCTCTGTTGCCTAGCTTGGAGTGCAGTGGAGCAAACATGGCTCACTGTAGTCTTGACCTCCTGAGCTCAAGCAGTCCTCCTGCCTCAGTTTCCGGAGTAGCTGGGACCACAGAGTAGCTGTGTGCCACCACACCTGGCTAAATTTTTTGTTTTTGGCAGAGATGGGTGTGTGTGTGGGGTGGGGCAGCGGGAGGGGGGGGTCTCCCTATGTTGCCCAGGCTGGTCTGGAACTCATGGGCTCAAGTGATCCTCCCGCCTCAGCCTCCCAAAGTGCTGGGATTACAGGCGTGAGCCACTGTCCCTGACCTCATTTCATAATTTTTAAGAGATCTTATAAGGAAATAAGTCAACTCAATATATGTAAACACATTATTGTTTATAGCACTTCTCTAAGATGTCTATAAAGTTTATATTCTAGCATCTGACAACTTTTTCTACCCTTGCAATTCAAACTCACTTTCTCTTTAACAATTTAAACTTGTTTTCTTTGTTCTTATGGAAGATGGAAAACAGCTGGTGAGAATCCTCAGCTAATCCTTGTTAAACGCCTTCTTAAAAACAATCCTTTAGCTTGAGGACATTAAGCTAAGTGAAAAAACCAGTCACAAGAGGATAAATACTGTATGATTCCACTTATATGAAGTACTTAGAGTAGTCAAATTCATAGAGACAGAAAGTAGAATGGTGGTTGCCGGGCCTGGAGGAAGGGTGAAAAAAGAGTTATTGTTTAATGGTCACAGAGTTTTAATATTTCAAGATGAATAGAGCTCTGTGGATGGATGGTAGTGATGGTAACATAACACTGTGAATGCACTTAATGCTACTGAACTGTACATTTAAAAATGATTAAGATGCTCAAAAAACAATTGTATAGGTATGTAGAGAGGCATATATTTACCCTTTGGGGATATCAGAGAAACCATTACCTAGTAACTGCATCTGCTACGGAATTGTTTGCTCTGTTCCATTTGTTATTCATCCTTTCTTTGTGGCTTCTCTTTCCATTCTTCCAGAAAGTTGTGTTGCTCTTCTCTGGACCATCTTCAAGTCTTCTACAAACCAGATGTAGTTTTTGGAAAGATGGCAAAGCCAGTGTGGCGAGGAGGCCATCTCAAAGGTGTTAGGCTTTTGTGTGGCATTAAGGTTACTGTCCTTGCCAAACCTATGGTTTGTCCTCATCCCTAGGTATGGCTTCTGTTCTTTCCATCTATAAAGGTGGGGTGGGTAAACTAGATGAACTCTAATGGAGTTTATAGCTTACCATTATCTTTGGCTGTTTTTCACTGTGAGTGTGTGCTACCATTCCATGAGTTTTAGGTTTATGTATGAAATATCATACATTTGTTTTTCAAAATTATGAATTCAATACAAGCTCAAAGCACCAAACTTGTGAACTTGTTTTTCCACTTTCCCCGTCTCTTTTTTTGTACTGAATTTCACTCTGTTGGAATGTTTCTAAAAGTAAATGTCCTTGCTTTTTGGTTAAGAACTGTGATTCCTGAATGGACCACCTGAATATAACAGGGTGGTATGTCTTAATTAGTGCACTTTCTTTTCCCTCCCCCCGTAACACTAAGCTGAAAGTCTTTACTTTCATAGTTTATCACTTAAATCTTATGGGTTTCAGGCTTTATTAGGACTGCCTCATCAATAAAGTAGTTCAGCCTGGCTTCATTTTAAATATCTTTCCTTTGCTCTTACCTAGCAGAAAAAGCCTTGGAATGAAAACCTGGAAATTTGGAATCCTTCCTCTATTAGTGTGTGATTGTTGTCCAGTTACCTTAAAAAAAATCATACAGCACAGGTGTGCTTGTAAGCCCTTGTCCCCACAATTTGATGATACCATTATTGGTTTGGCTGGATATTTGCTCTTAGTCATCAGTTGTTTCAGTGAGGTGAAGAGGAGGAGGGTGGGGAGGTATTTAGCGGAATAATGGTGTTTAAGATTTACCCAACACCTAAAATATCCAGAAAAAAATCAAGAAACCCAACCCAAACTTTCTCGTTTTCTTTCTAAGAAAACATTAATGTGAAATCGACACTGTGCTAGTTAGTAATTGCACGGTGTGTGTCTCTCTCTTCTATTACCACCATCTAAAAAACACTCACATGCCCTCTCCCAGCTAGGAACCCCCCAAGGTAACTGCTGCTGTGATTTTGTGTTGTGACTATGTGGTCTATGGACTTACACTACAGTAAAATGTGGCTCCAGTTTTGGTGGACTGATCACATCCCAGGATTTAAGTGACTTTGGATCTGTTACTTAATATTCAGGAGTGCTGACCGGGAACACTAGAGGGCCTGAGGAAGAAGTCAGATGTGACATCTGTGGTGGGTCCAAGTTTTATCCTACATTAAAAGAAGTTAGATCCTCCTACCACTGATTTATAGAAGTTGATGTTGGTCTGGAGCTTGATGCCATGCTGGCGCCATGCTGTCTGCTGGCCTTTCAAAGGGAATTCTGGCCGCCTTAATTTGGCTTCATATTTCTTGGATGACCCATGTGTTTTGGACCGAATACTGTCTGTGAAGCAGAGTTCAGTGGGACCATTTAGCTCTGCGTTACCGGGAAGTGTTGCTGGCCCAGTCCTTACATGATCTGGGTGCTATGTGACCATAACCAGACTTGGGCTTCAGTCCTTGTTAACAAGCTGATGCTTTGAATGGGCCTGGGTCAGTGGTTTGTCTTGAAGTCTGTATACAGTCAACAAAACAGGGCAGTTGCAGAGTGCCTTGACAATCTCCTCATCTAATGAGAAAGCTGCTTCCCCACTGTCTGGAAATATGCAGTCAAACTTGTACCCCCAAGGGATATGGCATAGAACTTATTAAATATAATCTATTACACCATAATATTGTTGGACAGATGAAGTTAGAGGAAGCACTCTACATTTCACACATGAAATCAGACAATGGTGGGGAAGATTTTTATGCTGGCAAATGTAGCATAGAGGACGTTCCTCAGCCTCTAGCACATTGTATGGCAATGAATTATACACTCAGAATATGTGTGAATCAGTGTGTGAATGCATGAACAAATTTAATTCGTAGCTCTCAGATTCTAATACTGCAAATTGTGTTGAAAACTTTCATAGTCTTGGCATTCCTTGCCATTTTCCTCTGCCTGTTATATAGCTAAGATCACCCCAACTATTTTGTAGTTTGAAGCTACAGCATGTTTCTCAACCACTGATATTGAGAAGCCAAAGTCCAGGAGAGCTTTTCCTGGGATTTTAGAGAGGAAAGGAGGATGACCTCCAGTCTGTGCTGAAGACTTAGATGGAAAGAGGGTTATGCCTCTCAACAGCACAGAAAACAGCAAATTATGTTTGAGAATTCAAGAGATGAGTATTCAGCAGTAGCTCACAAATGGAAGTCACCAGTTCAAAATGCAGTACCATATGTGAATCACTGCTAAATTGAACCCTATTGACATATCAAAGAATACATTGTTGTTTGTTTTCAGAAGGTTGTAGAGATTATCGTAGATTTTGAAGGGATACAGGAACAGTTTTCTCTAGGTGTGAAAGGGCACAGCCACTTAAAAGGTGTCAGAAAAACAATATGTGCAGAAGAGCAGTCCTCGGGGAAATCCCAGAGCCTCAGCAGCAATGTGGGAAGACATAAGGACCAAAACAAAAGTCACAAAACAAGACTCTTCCCTACCCTTTTGTATTTGTTTTGGTCCTTATTTCTTCCAGCACGGCATGTGGAAGGGACAAAGGAAGAGAACATTAATCTTGAACACTAGAGAAGAAAGGGAGAGAGTTGGATGATCTCAGAGCAGTAGAAAACAGCCTTTTAAACATAGAAGGTATGTCTGTTTTAGACTATAGGATGATCTTTTTTTTTTCTTCTTTCTTGTTTCAATCAATGTGATCACAAAGAGTCAACACAGGTTTGATAGAGTGAGAAGAGGTAGTGCAGCCTATTCGTTTGTTTGTTTTTCTGTTATTTCATACTTAAAGGTAAACAAAACCCTCCGTTATATGTGCTACTAAGTCTTTTAAAAATCAAAGGAGACAGTGGGAAGTCAGGTGACATGGAAATAGTCGGATATTGTATCTGCAAAGCCCCTAGCCTCAGCAGGCACATCCTGGGTTCCATTTCTCTGGTGTCCCTTCCCCTGCCCCGCTTCCCTGTTTGAAGTGGCTGGGCACATTGCCTCTACCTGGAAGCTGATAAGACACCCTCACTGCACACTGTCAAGGTTTTCCAAGAAAAATAGCAAAGAATGCACTTGTGTTGAGGTACAGGAGTTGCTGACTGGCAGGTCTCTAAAGAATCAACAAGCCCACGTTTCTGCCTCCTCTCATGTTCCCAAGCTGATTTTCAGCTCAAAACTAATAAAATCGACGTGTTTTTGTAAATCAACAAGTGCAGAGCTTCAGCTCATTTTCTAAATCCTGATGTGCCAATTTAAGAACATTCCCCTCCGCTCAGAAAATTACTCTGAAGAATATTTGTAGGAAAGGCATTGCCCAGAAAGTGGTTGTAACTTTGTGTATGTTTGTTCATACACAAAGTATGAATTAATGATAATTCAGCTAATATTTGTTGGGCACCACTATGAGCTTGGATCTGTGCTTGGCAGTGGGATCAGAGCAGAGAACAAGTCTCTACCCTGGGGATGTTTCAATATTTAAGGAAAGAACTTGGTTAGTTTTGAGGTGGTATTGCATAGAAGAATTGAACATTGAAAACACAGGTTTGAAAACAAATGGTATTAAACACTACATATAACTCCTCAAAGATTTTGCTTTTTGTCCTTTTATTAGGGAGGAGCATTTAATATCAAAATTACTATTCTGAGTGGCCATAATTCAAGAGAAAAAAACTGCAGAGGCTTGTGATTTTAGTAGGAGAATTTTTTGTAGATATCTGTCTCACAAAGAACATCCGTGGGATGCATTCTTATTTGAAGGAAGTTTAACTGTCTCAGAGCTTTTGTGTTTTTATACCAAGGAGCATACATTTGAAGAAGTTTCTATCCTTATATTTCAAGCAGATTTGCATCAAAGCATAAGCTTCATGCACTGTTGAAGACCTTCCCACTAGGTTGTATCCTATTATTTTGCATAATTGTAACCATACTTCGGTGCTGCATTGATTCTCTAACCATTTCCTTTGGGATAATCGGAAACATCTCTGTTGAGATTGAGTCAGGAATGTAGAAGTGGAACTAACCAGGTTCCTGTTGCGTGTACCCGTTTCAAACCACCGTGCTCTTGGAGCTTTCTCCATTTCTTTCTGTGGTATGTCCACTTACAGGAAATAGTCGCCTCAAAACAACCAGCTCTATCTTGCTGAGTTTTACCCGATGGTTTACCTTTTCTCTCATCTTCTCTTTCCTCTTGCCTTCCTGCCTCCCCATACTTCAGGATTTATGTTCCTTTTCTTTGTGACACTTACTTGATGAGTATGACTGTAAAGACATTGTTAACCTCTCCCCTCGCCCCCGCCCTCCCCACTCATCTTTGTATCCTGGATAGGGAGAGGTTTGATTTGAGGGAATTGTGAGTGAGCAGGCAGGAGCTCCTTGGGAGCCAGGCCATGCATCGGCTCCAACAAGCCCCGCCACTCAGGTGCAGCCATCTCCAATCCTGAGCTCATTTTTATGTCCCCAGCAAACATGCATAATCTTAGACAAACAAACAATCCTGCCAAAAAGGGCATCCAACAGTTCCTTAAGACAGAGCAACAATTCTTGGCTCCGGAATCAGTAAAATTATCTATTTTCAAAACAACCCCTTTTAAAAAAAGAAAGCAACAAAGAGGATAGTGTTGTTTATGTAACTTTTTTGTAAGGTTATAAAAAGTTTTTTTTTTTTCTCTCTCTCTCTCTGGGTACAAAATGGGTACGGTATGTGTTCCCAAGCCTAGAGAGGTTGTTTGGGAAAGCAATGATATCTCTTGAGATTTTCCTTTGCTAATGACTTTAGCCTTTCTCCCTTGTAGAAAAAAAAAAGGTTGTTTTTAACATTCTGCTCTGCAAGTTCTTAGGAATGGTTGTTGGGAACTGGGTACCTTAGATCATTTCTCTTGTCCCTGAGAGCTGTTCTCAGGCCCTGTGAGGTGAACGGTCAGGGGTGATCTAGCATGGCAGCCATGGAGCTCCTTTGTTGGGTGGGAGGAGGTGGTGGGGTCCTTGCAGCAGTGACTCCAGCTCCTGACTGGTGCCTCTGGCCTCTCCGGATGACCACCATGACTTTTTTTTTGACCTGGCTGAATACAATTTCTCCAGTTTTTTTTTCTTGTGACCTTCTGGCCATCAGCTTCCACTTGTTGCCTGTCAGGTGAAATTAGCATTACTGGAGCCCCTCTAGAAAGAGGGCAACATGTAATATGTGTGGGGAGAGTGGAGGGCTTCACACAGCCTTCAAGAAACCTGAAAAATGAAACCGAAAATTTAAAAATCCACAAATAAGGAATTCAAAAACCTTATATGCTCAGAGGCTACTGTAGAGAGAAAAGCAAAGATGAAAGAAAGCAAAGGGCACCCTGCCATCTTAAACAAGGAAAGAAGAATAAATTAATGTGAAGGGACCTTTGTAGAGGGAAGAATGTCCAAACACAGGAATACAAGGCAGACTTGAAGTCCAGGTCACACGGAGTTGATCAGTGAATTCTCACCTAGTATAAGTACCAGTGGCACCATTTGGGGATGTGAAATGTGGGAGACAGTGGGATCTGTCCACCGCACCACCAGGGATTCTGGTGGGGGTCATCCCCAGCATGCTTTTCCCCGGAACTCCTCTTCTTCATGTCTTGTGCCATTGGCTGTGTCATTCAATGGGGACAGAAATAAAAACGAGGCAGTTATTTGAGTTTCAGATCAGCTGTACCCACTAGCTATATTTCATTTGTTTGTTTTGCAGGGAGTAATTTAGGAACTCCAATGTAATTGCTGATTTTACTAGTTGTCACTGAGAAGCATTTCACATCAAATTTCAGCTGCATACCATGCTCCCATTTCCACTTAGGCTTAGATTGGACCTGGTCTTGGGCCCCTTTGGGATCTGAGTGTGTTTCATTTCTCTGTGTTTCTTGGCTTAATGAAAATTGTCAGATACGTCTTATCTTTACTCATTTGCTCAGAGATAACCTTCAGGACACAGTGAAAAATAAGGATATTGGGCCAAAGTTCATCTGTTTGTTCAGAATTTCTGGAAAATATCAAAAACATTACTTCTTTTGACTGTAAAAGTAGAGTTTTAAATTGTATTTATTTAAATTTTAAAGTACTTCTTGCTTTTAAGAGCTGCTGCTTTGATTTTGGAGAAGGATAATTCTCACCCACCAACCATTTATTAATTTAGTACCTACTAAATGCTATAACAGAGCAGAGTGTGGAGAGGGCCTGGTTGATGTGGCCCATAGATTTGGGCAGGCTTCCCTGAAGTGGGCTTTGACAAATGAGTAGGAGCTTCCCTGATGAAGACAGAAGAGGAGGATATTTCAAGCATAGCAGAGCCCCAGAGCCATGCAAATAAAGGGCTTGCGAGGGGCAGCAACAGCTCCTGAGTGAGGCCAGCCAACCAGATGGTGGAGTGAGAGGTAGGCATTGAGGTTAGAAAGACAGATTAGGCAGCTGGGTGTGGTGGCTCACGCCTGTAATCCCAGCACTTTGGGAGGCCGAGGCGGGCGGATCACGAGGTCAGGAGATCTAGACCATCCTGGCTAACATGATGAAACCCCGTCTCTACTAAAAATACAAAAAATTAGCCGGGCGTGGTGGCGGGTGCCTGTAGTCCCAGCTACTCAGGAGGCTGAGGCAGGAGAATGGTGTGAACCTGGGAGGCAGAGCTTGCAGTGAGCCGAGATTGCGCCACTGCACTCCAGCCTGGGCGACAGGGAGACTCCGTCTCAAAAAAAAAAAAAAAAAAAAAAAAAAAAAAAAAAAAAAGAAACACAGATTAGGGTCAGGCTTTGTATGCCAAGAAAAGAATTCAGATTTTGTCCTTCAAGCATTGAACTGTCATCTAAAATTCTTAATCAGGGTCATGATATGGGAGGTATAGTGAACATTTTGCACTTATCTTGGCTGGCCAGCAAAGAATGATGCTGGAGAGATGGTGGAGAACTTGCTTTCTGTGTTAGAGGAGTTCCCCACCTTATGATGCAAGTCGGCCTCTGCTGTAGGTGCTGAAAGTGTGATGTACCCTCTTTCCAGTCTTCCTCGCAGTTCAGGAATGGGCACGTGACCTAGGCTCTGCCAATCAGATGTCTCCACTCCAGACTGAATAGTGACATGAAGAAGCAAGGACCTCAAGCAAGATCCATTTCTGGAGATGGAGCCATCAGTTCTAGAAGCAGCAGAGGGCAAACACCTGAGGGTCAGGGTCAAGTGTCCAGTGGTTCAGGGTGGTGATGGAAGCTTGTGTGTCTCTGCCCAGCAGGATCAATGATGCTTTCCCCTCACCGTCTCCTCAGCATGAATTTGGGCATTGCTGCTGGCCGCATAGCCTCCAAACCTGGCTTTTTAGCTCTCCAAGAGATCCAATGAGCTGCCTGATGTTTAAAAAATTTTTTAAGTCATGTCTTTTAAGGTTTAACTTACTGACAGTAAGATGTACCCTTTTAAAGTTTATAGTTCAATGAGTTTTGACAAATATAGTTGTGTGATCACTACCATAAAATATAGACTATTTCCATTAGGCCAGAAAGTTCCCTCATGCCGCTTTGAAGTCAACTGCCTCTCTATTCCCAACTCCCAGCAACCTCTAATTTGAATTTTTGTTCCTGCAGTTTTGCCTTTTCCAAACACTCATATAAATGGATCATGTGGCATGAAGCTGTTGTGTCTGAGATTTTTTTTCATTTAGCACAGTGCTTTTGAGATTAATTGTTGTTGTATATATCAGTTTCTTTTTATTGTTGTTATTAGACTGTTTGGTTATATCACAATTTGTTTATATATTCACTAGTTGATGGACATTTGGTTTCTTTCCAGTTTTGCGGTATTATGCATAACATTATTATACTGTGAACATTCATACAAGTTTTTTTTTTTTTCCTTTGGTAAATACCTAGGAATGAGATCACTGGGTCATATGGAAAGTGTAAAACTTTATAAGAAACTGCCAAACTGTTTTCCAAAGATTATACCCTTTTGCATTCCCACTAGCAATGCATGTAAGTTCCATTTCCTCTGCAGTCCTCAACAGCAATTGGGATTGTCAGTCATATAATTTTAGTCATTTTAGTAGGTGTGTAGTGATATGTCATGGTGGTTTTAATTTGCATTTCCCTAAAAGCTATTAATGTTGAACATCTTTTCGTGTGCTTATTTGCATCCATACATCATTTTTGGTGAAGTGCATGTTAAATATTTTGCCCAGTTTTTATTGTGTTGCATATTTATCATTGTATTATAGGAATTCTTATCCTAATACAAGTCAATGATCAGGTATTTGTTTTCCAACTATTTTTCCAAGTCTGTGGCTTGTCTTTTTTATTTTCTTAATACTACTTTTCAAAGAGCTGAATTTTTAATTTTGAAGAGGTATAATTAACTTTTTATAGTTCATGATTTTTTTGTGTCCTAAGAAGTCTTTGCAGAAAGTTATGAAATATAATAATATTGGATAGTCTGAACTATGAATATGATTTATCTGTTAGGGTCTTTAGTTTCTCTCAGTAATGTTTTATAATCAATGTACATGTATTATGCATTTTTTGTTAGAATTATTCGTAAGTATGTCATGTTTTATAAGACTCTTGTAAATGATATTGTTTTTAAATTTCCAACTGTTTGTGGTTAGTATATACAATTGATTTCGAACAAATCCTCCATTTCATCTAAGTTGGCCTAAAGCTGTTCCTTATTTTTCCTTATTGTTCTTTTAATATTTGTAGGATCTGTGGTGATATTTCCTCTTTTATTTCTGATATTTATAGTTTGTATCTTCCTTCTTTGTTCTTGAACAGTCTGACAAAATGTTTATAAATTTTGAACTTTTCAAAGAACTTGCTTTTGGTTTCATGAATTTTCTGTGTTCCATTTCATGGTTTCTGCTCTTATTTTATCATGTCCTCCCTTCTGCCTATTTTTCTTTCACCTGGTCTTCTTTTCTTAGTTTTTTAACACTTGATCTTATCCAAAAGGCTGAGAAGAGATATTTTCCTAATTAATAAATGTTAAAGATTAGATAATTGATTAAAGACCTTTTTTCTTTTTTTTTCTTCTTTTTTTTTAAGGGACAAGTCTTCACTCTGTTGCCCAGGTTAGAGTGCAGTGGCATGATCATATCTCGCCGAAGCCTTGAACTCCTGGGCTCAAGTGATCCTCCCACGTCAGCCTCCCGAGTAGTCGGAACTATAGTCATGCACCACCAAGCCTGGCTAATTTTTATTTTTATTTTTATTTTGTAGAGGTAGAGTCTTGCCATGTTGCCCAGGCTGGTCTTCAACCAAGTGATTATCCTGCGTTAGCATCCCAAAGTGCTGGGATTAATGCTATAAATTTCTCTCCAGGCACTGCTTTAACTGTATTCCACAAAATTTTAATTTGTTGTATTTTCATTTTCATTCCATTGAAAATATTTACTAATTTATTTGTAATTTCTTCTTTGGCTCCAAGGTTATCTAGAAATGGATTGTTTAGTTCCCAACTCTTTGGGGGGGATCTTCCAAATATATTTCTGTTATTGATACCTCATTTAATTCTACTCTGTTCCAAGAACATGCTTTGTATAATTTCAGTCCTTTAAAATTTCTTGATTTGTTTTATGGCCCAAACTATGGTCTATCCTTATGAGGGTTTCATGTGAACTAAAAAAAAAAAAGTTTATTCTGCTGCTTTTGTGTAGAGGATTCTATTAATATCATTTAGGTCAAGTTAGTTGATGGTGTTGTTCAAGTCATCTATATCACTGCAAATATTTTTTTGGTACTTGTTTTATCAAATTCTAAGAAACGAGTGTGTTGACATCTACAGATATGTTGTGGATTTGTCTATTTTTCCTTTGATTTTCATCAGTTGTCTTTTATATATTTTGAAGGCTTTGTTATTGGGTGCAAAGGCATTCAGAATTCTTATATCTTCTTGGTGAATTGACCCTTTTATCTGTATTTAATGCTTCTCTTTATCTCCGGAAATATTATTTGTTCTGATGTCTATTTGATATTAATATAGTCTTTCTAGCTCCTTTTTGTTTAGTGTTTGTATAGTATATCTTTTCCCATTCTTTAACATGTAACATATATATGTCTTTATATTAAAATAGTCTCCTTGTCAATAGATTTTTCTTTCAGTCTGACAATCTCTATCTTTTAATTGTTAGGTCATTTACATTTCATGTGATCATTCATGCAGTTAATTTACATCTACCTATCTTGCTAGTTTTCCACTTGTCCCATTCTCTTTGTTTTTATTCTCCTTTTTTCCTGTATTCTTTTGAAGTTATTGGGTATTTTCAGTAATTCCATTTTATTTCTACTATTTGCTTATAAGTTACATATTTTTTTAAAGTTGTTGCTCTTGGGTTCACAATGTACATCTTTAACTCTTCACTCTTAACCTTAAAACATCTTATATCAATATACTTTTATTTCCTCCCTTCCATTCGTTGTGCTATTGTTTTTTACTTCCAAACATGTTATAACCTCAAAATATATAGTTACTGTTTTGCCTTAAACAGTCAATACTCTTTTAAAAAGAGTAAAAATTTGTTTACTTCCATTTTTTACCATCTTCAGGATTCTTCAATTCTTTGTATAAATCAAAATTTCCATCTGGCTTCACAGTCTTCTTGTCTTTAATATCCTTGTTGTGTACTAGTGCTGGCAATTCATTTTTTTTTCTGAAAAAGCCTTTATGTCATTATTTTTGAAAGATTTTCGCTGGGTATAGAATTCTGTGTTAACTCCTCCTTTTTTTCCTTTCAGCAAATAAAAAATGCCACTTCTATTATCCTCTGACATTCATATTTTTTGACACAAAGTTTGCTGTATGTCTTACCTTTCTTCCTTATTATGTAATCTTTCATATTTCTCTGGATGCCATCTAGCTGATCTCTTGATATTGATTCATAGTAGTTTGACTGATGTGTCTGTTGGGTGTGGGGAGTGTGTGTCTTAAATTTGCTAATTCTATTTGGGGTTCTCTGAGCTTCTTAGATCTGTGATTCACTAATTTGAAAAATTCAAGGCCATTATGTTTTCAAATATTTTCTTCTGCCCCAATTCTTTATCTCCTTTCCTTTTACATCTTCAATTAATCCTATGCTCTTATTTTCTACTCTTTTTCCTCCTGATGCTTCAGTTTGCATAATTTCTACTTACCTGTTTCAAGTTCATTGATTCTTTTCTCTTGAGCATTTAGTCTGCTGATAAATCTATTAAAGGAACATTTCCTGTCCAATATAGTGTTTTTAATTTCCAGAATATTCATTTGAATTTAAAAAATTAATTTCTATTGATCTGCTGAAAGTTTCCTTCTGTTTATGGATGTTGTTCACTTTTTCCACTAGCTTTTAACAGATTACTTATAGCTATTTTAAAATTCCATTCTGGGCCAGGTGTGATGACTCATACCTATAATCCCAGCAATTTGGGAGGCTGAGGCAGGAGGATCACTTGAGCCCAGGAGTTGAAGACCAGTCTGCGCAACATAGAGAGATCCCATTTCTACAAAAAATTAAAAAAAAATTAGCCAGGTGTGATCGCATGTGCTTGTAGTGCCAGCTACCCAAGAGGCTGAGGTAGAACCCAGGAGGTCAAGGCTTCAGTGAGCCATGATTGCACCATTGCACTCCAGCCTGGATGACAGAGTGAGACCCTGTCTCACAAAAAAAAAAAAGAAAAAAAATTCTATTCTGATAGTTTCAACATCTGGGACATTTATGGGTCTGGTTCTGTTGACTGCTTTGTATCTTGAAAATGTTGTTTTTACTTTTCTTTTTTGCCTTTTGTGATACTTGTATAATTTTTCACTGGTTGCTGAACACTGTGTGTAGAACAGAAGAGACTGAGGTAAATCAGAATTGGGCATGCTTTTTATTCTGTCAAGCCATTACTGTGGAGAGTTGAGTCAATCTAGTCAGCAGTTTAGCTGGGCTTGAGTTTTGTTTTCCTTTGGTTACCTTCCTTTGGTTACCTTAAGTGCACCACAGAATTCAACTTCTTCTGGGGGTGAATGGCTGTTACCTTATACTTTGTTAGTAGTCCAGGATGCTGAAGGTTTTTTCTCAGTTTACACATCGTACCTACAACTTTTAGCAGGTCCTTGTGGTGTGATAGGCTCAACAAAAGTTACAGTTTTGTAAACTAAATTATTACTTTTTTCATGTTCTTAGGGTGGGAACAACATTCTCTTGTGGTTTTCTACATCTGAAGCAGTTTTCTATATCTACTACACTTGGTATTCTTTTAATAAACCCCCTTTTCTGTTTAAATCAGTTTTACACCACTAATATTTTTTCCTAATAGAGGAGACAAAGTATGGTAATAGTTAAGGGCGTACAAAATAGGATTCAGACACAACTGGTTTTGAATCCTACTCTGCCACTTACCTTATCACTAACTTTACTAGTCAGATAATTGAGCACATTATTTAACTCTGTCATTCAGTTTCCTCATTTGTAAGATAAGGATAGAATGATATAATATTTGCAATATTAGCACACACAATATTAGCACACAATATTAGCAATTTTTAACACTTAATGCCTGGCTCATAGAAAATGCTCTGATTGGTCACCATTATCAGGTTTGAATTTTATATGAGTAAGCCTGGTGACAGACTGGAGGGTACCCTGTAGAAAGGAGAGACTAGTGGCTGGAAGACCAGTTAGCAAATAAATTCAGGAGATCACATGAGAATTGTGTATGTATCAGCACACAATAGTAGCAATTTTTAACACTTAATGCCTGGCTCATAGAAAATGCTCTGATTGGTCACCATTATCAGGTTTGAATTTTATATGAGTAAGCCTGGTGACAGACTGGAGGGTACCCTGTAGAAAGGAGAGACTAGCAGCTGAAAGACCAGTTAGCAAATAAATTCAGGAGATCACATGAGAATCATAAAGGCTTGAAATGCTCCACAACAAAGAAGATAGAAGAGGCTGACCTGAAATGGCTTATGTATAAACAATAGTCCCCTCATGTTGTGTCATGTGCTGGTTATTCCATCATCCCAGTACTTCTCTATCTTCTCTATCAACTTGTGTTCAGTTTAGTTTTACACAACAGCAAGTGTTTGTTTGGCTGTCTTTCCCTCCCTACTACATGTGAAGTCTTTGAGAGATGGGCCATGTCTGTTTCCCATAAGTGTATCTCTGATGCTTCATGGAGGGTCCAGCACATAGTAGGAATCAATAAGTTCATTGACTTAAACTCAACAGGAAAGTTATGTCCTTTTTTTGCTACTAAATCACTGTTCAAATTGTCTGCAGCTAAATGCACAATGTTGAGCATTTCTATCTCAGTAGCTGTAACAAGCTGAGTAACCCCTCTGTTCTGATTTCAGCCAAACATTGGATTTTCTGGTGATCTTGTCCTATCCCTTGTTGGTCTGTTGGGGGAGACAAGGCCAGAACAGGGGCAAACTGAAATGTGTTGGGGACCTAGACCTCTACCAAGCAGCCAGAATGTCCCACTGCTTTGATTTGTTTGGGAGCTTTATACTCTCTTGCATCTGTCTATATCAGACACCCCAAAGATGCTTTTCTTGATTTAGGTTCCAATTTCATTGACTCTTAGTATGTGGATAATCAATAGGGTACCTATAGTTACCTGTGCTGCCAGTGAATGTATCTCCCTCACCATAGGAAATCCCTGTTGGTCTCTCTGCCTTCTGGCTTCTTGGGCTTATCAGCTTCTAGACCCATGCCAGTTCTGCAAAGGTCCTTATGTAACCAGATGAAAGAAAAAATCATATTCAGCAGAATTCCTTTCAGCAAGGGGGCTGTTTTTGTTTATAAGAATTTTCTTGATAAACCTTTTCGGAGTAAAAATTGATACCTCAAGGGACCTCACTGGGAAGAGAACAAATCTGAGTGAAAAGGTGGAAGATTTGTCTCTGGCCCCTGCAGGAAACTCAGAACCTGGAGCTGGAGAGATGACGGAAGGCAGCTTTCTTTGTAATGTGACTCCTCTTGAATCTTCCGTCTTATCTCCCACATCATCAGTAAAGTCACCAACTTTGTATCATGCTTGGAGTGAGAAGCTCAAAAATAAAACCTAATATAAAAGAATTGAAAGCAGGTGTTTAAACAAAAACTTGAACATGAATGTTCTTAGCAGCACCATTCACAATAGCCAAAAGGTGAAAGCAACCCAACTGTCCATCAGTGGATGAATGGACCCACAAATATGGTACATCCATACAATGGAATATTATTCAGTCAATGAAAGGAAGGAGTACTGTACATGCTACATGTGGATAAACCTTGAAAGCATTACGCCAAGTGAAAGGAACCAGACACAAAAGCCAGCGATTGTATCATTCCATTCGTATGGAATACCCAGAGAAGGCAAATCTTTTCTTTTCTTGTTTTTTCTTTTTTTCTTTTTCTTTTTTCTTTTTTTTTTTTTTTGAGACAGAGTCTCACTCTATCACCCAGGCTGGACTGTAGTGGTACACTCTTGGCTCACTGCAACCTCCACCTCTGGGTTCAAGCAATTTTCCCGCCTCAGCCTCCCTAGTAGCTGAGATTACAGGTGTGGGCCACCACACCCAGCTAATTTTTGTATTTTTAGTGTATACAGGGTTTCACCATGTTGCCCAGGCTGGTCTCAAACTCCTGACCTCAAATGATCTGCCTGCCTTGGCCTCCCAAAGTACTGGGATTACAGGTGTGAGCCACCACGCCTGGCCTAGAGGAGGCAAATCTATAAAGACAGAAAGCAGATGAGTGATTGCCCGTGGGAAATGTGTAGTGACTGCTTATGGTTATGCCATTTCTGTTTCTGTTTTTCTGATTAAAAAGCTCTGGAACTAGACAGTGGTGACGATTGCATAACATTGCAAATATCACTGAATTGTGTACTTTAAAATGATAAATTTTATGTTTTATATTTTACCACAATAAAAAAACCCATGTAGGTGCTGGGCTCTGAATGTATATGGATTGAAGAGGGAAGCCAGGATGGACAGGAGAACATGGAATTAGTGAAAGGAAGTAGATTGCAGGAACACCTGGAGAGAACTAGAAGGCTTTTGACTATCTGAGTCAACAGCAGTGGGGTTTGGGCTAAGGTGACCCAGATCTGTTGGAGACCCAGAGACAAGGGAGAACATTACAAAATACTCGTAAAATGTGCAAATGCAGGCAATGTCTGAATAATGTACAATATAGTAAAATCCAAAGTACATGGATGTTTATAGACTTACTGTCAATCTAAGCTTATGGTATTGTTAAAATGATTTTTATAGTGTTGGGTAATCACTTGATCTAACCATTATAGACTGTGGGTGTGGTTTAAGTCTTTTCAGTGGTAAAACTGTCAGATCAAAGTTCAGTTTTGTGAATGTAGAAGTATGTCCTGATATCAATTTTTATCACCATTACTATCATCTCAAGTATAGATATACAAATTTATTTAAAAAGAATGAACCTAATAGAAAGCTTGCCTTGAAATTGACCATGGAGGATAATGCTGGGCACCTAAAAACACTAGAGAGGCAGTGGAAGGAGAGGGGCCTATGTCATCCAAACGCCTGTTCAGCATCCTGGCTCACAAACAGCACTGGAGTGCGTGGCCAGGGAGCATTGCTGAACAGCGGTGCAGAAGGAGGGCTTGCACCTGACCCTGCTGAAGAGCACAGAACTGCTAGGATTCACGTTTTTTTCTTATCATTAGCCCCTGTGTCTCTATTGCGATCCTGAGGACCAATTTATTCTGATTCTGAGGTCATAGTGACTCAAATGGTCTTAAGAAGTCTCACAGTGTTTCTTCCAAGTTTCATCTCCTTCAAGTCTTTGCTGAACCCTGACCTTTCAATGAAGCCTGCCCTGGACTACTTAATACTACTCTTCCTGACACATTTCTCAGCCCTCACCTTGTAGAACGTTTTCTTTTTCCAATAGAATATATATATATGTGTATATATATATATTTTAGACAGAGTCTTACCCTGTCACCCAGGCTGGAGTGCAGTGGCACAATCTCGGCTCCCTGCAACCTCTGCCTCATGGGTTCAAGCAATTCTCATGCCTCAGCCCCCCAGTAGCTGGGATTACAGGCATGTGCCACCACGCCTGGCTAGTTTTTGTATCTATCTATCTATCTATCTATCTATCTATCTATATATCTATATTTTTTTTTTAGTAGAGATGGGGTTTTGCTATGTTGGTCAGGCTAGTCCCGAACTCCTGGCCTCAAGTGATCTGCCTGCCTCATCCTCCCAAAGTGCTAGGATTACAGGTGTGAGCCACCGTGCCTGGCCAGAATTTATAATCTTTTAACATAATAGGTAACTTGTCAACTTTATTGCTTATTTTCTGTCTCCCTTCTCTAGAATGCAAACTCCTTGAGGGGCGATCTGCTTGCCCATTTTCATTGTGAGAAATTAACATCCTTTTCCAGGTAATTATATTGGCCTTCTGACAACTTGGACACAACTTTACTTACCTAATATCATTCAGCTGGTAGTGATCGGGTAGAGCTGAAGGTCTCTATTGTTCTCAAGGTCATTCCTACTGGATATCTAATTCAAAGACATCTGACTTCTGTGGAAATCTTCTCAATAAAAAATTAGTTTTTATCTTGCATGTTAGTGTTGATTTTGAACTTCAGTGAAACAGTTGAAAGTGCAATGTGTACAATTTTTTAGCCACATTGGAAACACTAGATAATGATGTTGCCAACTGTTAAAAAAGAGCTAGTTTGGCTAGTAAGAGTCACTTTAAAAAAAAAGTTTCCCCTACATAATTTAACATTCAAATGTTAGCTTAAAAGTAATTCATGGCCGGGCACGGTGGCTCACACGTGTGATCCCAGCACTTTGGGAGGCTGAGGTGGGCAGATCACCCGAGGCTGGGAGTTCTAGATCAGACTGACTAACATGGTGAAACCCCGTCTCTACTAACAAGACAAAAATTAGCCAGGTGTAGTGGCGGGCACCTGTAATCCCAGCTACTCAGGAGGCTGAGGCAGGAGAATTGCTTGAATCCGGGAGGTGAGGTTGCAGTGAGCCGAGGTCGCGCCATTGCACTCCAGCCTGGGTGACAGAGCGAGACTCCATCTCAAAAAAGTAATTCATGTGCTTATTATAGCCAGAGTAGGCTCTGTTCTAGGATAACTCAGAGCAATGGGTGGGGGTATTTAAGAGGACACGCAGGAAGGCCGCGCAGCCCAGTGACGTCTTCAAACAGCATCCTTAAAAACACGAAGAGGATAGCCACATTGCTTTAAACACAAATAGGTTCAGTTCTTGTCCTGCTTGGTGGCTGAGGACTTTGATGATTTTGGCCGTTTTTCTTTACATCACGGAATTTACACTTCCAGTGGATTATCTGACCCAAAGAAGACTGTGGTAGTCAGGAAAAGCCAGGAATACGATAGGCACATCTTTTCACCTGGCAATGGATATGTCTGGGAGATTTATAATGTGAAATTCATGGTTCTGATATATGGTTTCATGGCTTGTTCATTCATTCAGCCCTCTCTCCTTTTCTCTTTCTCTCTCCCTCTGTCATTCAATCATTTTTGAGGCTTTTTCATGTATCAGGCATCATGCTAGGTTGTGAGGAAACTGAGATGAATAAAACTTTCACACTATTCTAGAGTAGCTCACAGCTTAGTTCATATCTTGTGGTTTAACGCGTGGGTAAGTTTGTATATTACAGACCTTTGTTGTTTAGATTCTGTCACAGATGTCAAGATTGGATGTGGTAAGGAGAATGAATACTCTTTAGTCTCTTAGGAATAACACATTAATAGTCTCACACCTGAAGAAACATTGTTTTCTTAAAAATCGAGTTTTAAATACATTAAGGCCTTTCTAATAACAGCAGCAAACCAGAGGGCTCAGAGATTTTCCTATTCCCAAAGCCATCCCAAGTCCCAGGCATGAGAAAAGTACAACATGATTATAGATTAAGGCCAGCAGTGTGCCTTGGAATTGGGAAAGCAGAATTGTGTTTGCTCCAATTTAGCAGAGAGTAAAAACTCTGATGGCAAACCTTGAATAGCATGGGATATTCTGCAGAGCCTGGAGAGGTGGCCAGACCACCATTGCCTTTGTGTGACTGTTGATTTGCCCAGGGAATTAGACAAAAGCCAACAGAGACATAACAGTGTCCTCAAGATGGCAGTGGAAGGCTCCAGCTAATGTAATAGTTTGTTATCAGTGCTTTTTGCTGCCCAACTCCCAGGAGTGTTAGAATCTCATTGTCAGATAAGAAACAAGTTCATGAGTGTGTATAAATTGATGGAGACGTGGAGGCTAAGAAGGAGTGCTCATGAGACGGGGTTGGGGACCAAGAATACCAACAAGGCAACAGCAGCATGGAAAAGCCAAGCCAGAGGTGATCCCAGGAAGCACTGCTCTCTGCGGCTATTGTTTGCTTTCCTCTTTAGTGCTGCTGAGTCTCAAGACTGTATTAGAAGAAGCAACCATTCCCAAAATATTTCCATAAAACAAAAACTAACCCCAGTTGATTGGTTTAACAGTGTAATTTGGCTGGGCATGGTGGCTCACACCTGTAATCCGAACACTTTGGGAGGCTGAAGCAGGAGGATCACTTGAAGACAAGGGTTCAAGACTAGTCTGGGCAACATAGTGAGACTCTGTCTCTACAAAAAATAAAAATAAAAAGTTTAGCTGGGTGTGGTGGTGCATGCCTATAGTCCCAGCTACTTGGGAGGCTGAGGTGTGAGGATCACTTGAGCCCAGGAATTTGAGGCTGCAGTGAGCTGACTGAGTCACTGCATTCTGGCCTAGGTGACAGAGAACCTGTCTCAATAAAATCCCCCAAAAACAAACAAAAAACAAAAACAGGGTAATTCTTTTGATGGTTGCTAGCTGCATGATCAGAGACTCCCCCTCTGACTGAGTCAGAGATTGGATGGCTTCACTGTGAGGATTCACATAGACCCAGATTACAGTCATCTTGCCAATCCCATGGGAGCCCTGAACAATCCTGCAGACAGGACTCATGAGTCCTGAAAGGTCAGTGAGGATGCTGTGATTTTAACATCTCCCCTCAGAGTCTGGACTTCCCTAAATCAACTCTAACTCTACTATTAGCTGGATTCAGTCACTCTGAGTCCTGTTAGTTCCGGTTGCTCCGAATGGCATTCTGCTTTATACCTTCTCCTAACTACTGCTCCTCTCTGCGTACCCTGTCCCCAGACTCCTTGAGAGAGAGGATCTACTGGCTCAGCCACTTCCAAATATGAGATTCTCCTCTTGGGCTGGGACTGTCCCATGCCAGCTGATAGGTTTAAGTGCCACTGGGTCCAATTGCCAATGGCTACAGTGGAAGGTGATGAGTTCCGGAACATGCTTAGGGGCACAGGGCCCGCAAGTGCGACAGTCTCTCTCAGTGAGGATCAAACAAGATAGGCACTCAAACTTTTTGCTGGGGCAGTTTTATTGTGACCGGAAGATAATGAGCCTAGTGTCACGCCAAGGCTGACGCTAGGTGACGTATATCACATGCAAAGGATTGAGGATGGCCATGATGTCAGACTCCACCTCCCGTCGTCAACCAGCTATGGGAGCACAGAGCTCACGGGGACACTCCACTTGTCTGCCCGCACATGTCTGGGTCTTTGTCCAGGTAACCCAAATGCTGCTAAGTGGACGGGCAATGCAGGGAAGAGCAGTCCTTGGAGTCACAGTCTCGGCTTCCAACCCCAGGATTACCACTTCCTTTCTAGACCGGTGGCGGTGGAAAAACCTCTCCACGCCTCGGTTCTCCTTGCTGGCAAAATGGGTGTGTGAGTGCCTACCTTGTGGGGTGGTTGTGGAGGCAGAGGGAGCGGAGTATGGAGCTGGAATGTTCAGGCTTCAGCAGCTCAGTGTACAATGTGGTCCGCTGCTTAATGCCTCTAATGTCCCCTGAGGGCAGAGATGGGGCCCTCAGTCTTCCCTGTTCTTGTGGCTATTCTGAAGTCCCCAGTGAGGCCTGAGCTTCCCCTCCACTTTGTCCAGGCTGCTTCCTGTGACTCTCATTCTTTTGATGTGGTTTTGGTGTCTTCCTTCCAGCCTGCTGGCCATCTTTTCACTGAACTCCTCTCTCCGTCCAGAAGGAAATTTTTCCCCATTATGACCAGTTCTGGTTTGGAGGTGGGCAGAACCCACAGTGGCAGCATGGCTTCCATTTTAACCACCTTGCGTCCTTCCAACAGGGTACTTCCCGCAGAGCGGCTTGGGCTTTAGTGACACAGTCTGTTTTTACCCCAGAACCCTTCCTTTCCAGGATCCCCAGAGGTTCCCCAGAAGCCTGATTTTCCTAAATCTCTTCCTCACTTAATGGTGATTTTCCTCCTCAAGCATCTCCATGGCTCCCACTCTTGTTCATTACCCGCGTCTGAACAGACTGTAGACAGGGATTCTGTTCTCTCTCATGTGGCTCAGGGGAATCCGAGGAGGCGCTGGGTACAGGCAAGGAGGCAGTGGCTGTGTTGTGCACATGGAACTCTTGCAGGGTGGTGCTTCAACGCCACAGTCAGCATGCTGAAATCCTCCCCACTGTCCAGCTGCAACCCCTGGACACATGTGTAAAGTGCTTGGCCAGTTCCTGTTGTGTGGGAGATGCTCAACAAATGATTGCTGCAACCATTATTTCCATCTCTGCCCAGCGCTGCTTTGAAATTATTGTTCTCTGGTTCTATCTCTGTAATCATCTGTCTAATTTATCTAATCTACCTACCTACCTAGTATAAATATTCAGATATATATACACACATATATACATCATTTGTGCATATACATTTTAAATGTGTGTATACACACACACACACACACACACACACACATTATATACACATATTCAGTTCCTTGAGTAATTTCCACTTTCGCTGGTTACTGATCATACTAACATTTTCAAGGCTTTTTAGGTGGTCTGTGTTCAGCTTTCATTGCTTTAGCAACTCTTACATGAGGTGCAAGTTTGTTGAGGAGGAATTCCATGAAAGATCTTTGTTATTTATTTTGTGTGTGTATGCATATGTAGCTGATATAACTTACAGAACCATGTACCCTGTAGTTAAGAGTAGGCAGAACTTTTTCAGGATGTTTTGATTTTCTATTTTCCTTTGTACTCAGCTGAAATCTCTACTGAAACTTAAAGGACGTGAAATCTCGAGCCCTGCTGTGGCCTCTGCATACCCAGTGACCATGGGCCACTTCTGTAGGTATATGGGGCACCAGAAAAAACACCAGCCAGGCAAAAGGAAGGTTTGGATTTAATCCAAAGAAGGCAAAAGGATGCAATCTGATGCATCAGTTTTCCTGTGCTGATTAAGCATTCCTAGTGTCTGTTGCCTGATGGGATCGTGCACACATTTCATCCGGGAGGATGCTAGTGGGACCTCATACACAAGGCCTATGTATTGCATGAAGTCATCCAGGGATTCTGTTCACACATGTACCATGCTATGCTACACAGGAGATGCTTTTCAGTAAGTGGAGCTCATAAACACTGTCAGGACCCTCAGTAGCTCCATGGAAACAAAGACTTTTGAAGAATTGGTGAGGCTTCCTCTGCAGGAAGACTTCTGCCGCAACACACACACCAGCAGTCCTAGAACCACCTGCTCGCCGATGATGCTCATTTCCTTCAAACCAAATTGCTACCATTACAATGATGACAAGAAGAACAGTGTCTGAAGTTGGACTTGCAAATGAGGTGGAATTTCCTGAGCTTTCTTATCGTCTGGCCTGGCTGTCCTATGACGGCTGCAACTGTCTCATGCATCAAATATAACCCTGACCCTGAAGGACTGCTGGCCTGGGTGGAGGCCTGGTTGGTGGAAGGGTGATAGGGGTAGTTTGAGCAGTTGGTTTGGGAGATCCATTCCCAAGCTTTTCTAAGTTTCAGAAGCTTCTATCTCAGAGAATACTAAGGCAATGGCTCCCAAACCTGGTTTGACGTCAGCCCCGACGCTCTCTATTCACTTACTACCATCCCTTCTTTCTCTTTTTCAAAATGAAATAATGTCCTCATAATTTTAAAAAACAAGACATAGTTCCTACAGGCAGAGATGGGGACTTGGACCAGGGGTCAAATGATATGAGGCTACAGCTCCCCAGTCAGTGTGCACAGGGGCACCCTGGTGAGAAGGCAAATTAAACTGGAATATTTGAAAGGAGTTGGGAAAAACTACTTCAATGTTGCTTCTCCCTCGACATCAATTTTCTGGATCTATCTGGAGTAAATCTATCAGATTATGGAGTTTCCTATTGATATGAAAGGTCGAGTGTGTAAGCAAGTAGAGGAGGAAAATAAAACATTAGGTGAGAAGGGCGATTCCCCGAAGAGGACAAAGAACAAAGGCCCCTTTGAGGCGGGAGTTTATTTTTACTTTTTGAAAAATATTTTTATTTTTACCAGCTTCAGATTCAGAGTGCTCTCCTTCACCCTCACCTTTGGATTGCTTTTCCTCTAAACACAAGCAGCTCATTAGAAACCTGAGCATGAAGCATTCTGGAGCCCCAGGATTGTCTCTGAGGTGACATCCACTCTGCTATCAGCATCAGGGTTGTTGGCCACCAAACATTTCTCTGAATTCTGGGAGCCTGGGTGCCAGGACTTGTAAGGCTGAGTCTTGGTGTTTGTTGAGACCTGGAGCAGCCTCTTGATGTCATGTCAGGCTTCAGAGTCTGTGCCAAGGCAGATGCACGGGGGTGGACACTGGCACACTTGGCCATGAGGGCAGCCAGGAGAAAGGTGACAGCTGGCACGCATCTCCCATGCAGACCACATGGGGGTGATCATGTCAGACGCTGTGCCAGGCGGGAGGCAAAGCAAATCACACATGACACCTAGGATCGAGAAAACTGGTTGACTTATTTCCTCTCTTCCTGTTACTACAGCTTGAGGACAACTGGGAACATTTTGCGGCACTCAGAGAGGAGATATTTGAACCACTGCCTGCACAAAGTCTAGTGAGAGAGACTTGCCTTCCTGAGGGAGAAATGTGATTGCTCACTCACGGGGGCTGCACCTTTGACCCCAACTTTTAGCAGCCTAGGAAAGGTGCAGAATGGGACATGGAATCTTGCTTTGCTATCTGCAGAATCTCACACCTACACTCTAGAGCTTGCGTCATGACCGTAGCGGGCTTCTTGAGCAACAATGGCACCAGAGCCTCTGAGGCATTAGAAAGGTCTAGGCACATTTCTGATATAACCACATAGACTCTCATGGTTGCACTGTCAAGAGTCTGGTGCCTGGATTCTTGTCGGTAAGAACCACTCCAAGAGGACCCACAGCACCTGGGGCAGTAAGTCCTCTGCTGGGAACAGTTAGCAGCTCTGGGTGCATCACGGAGCCCTGCCCTCATGGAACTTACATGCAGGCATAGTAAGAGCTAACGTGCATTGAGCTTCAAATCTTGTCTCTAGCACTTTTATGGATTAGGTCATCTTATATGCATAACAACCTTTTGAGGTTGGACAATTATGTCCCCTTTTCTAGAGATGAGGGGATTGGCATTTACAGAGATTAAGTACCCTGCTCAGTGGTACACAGCTAATAAGAGATGAGGCTGGGACTGCATTCAGGCAATCTGACTCCAGGTGCTCAGCTGTGAACGAATATTTTTAAATATTGACACTAGTAATTACTCTTCTAGTAACGAATATCCATTCTTAGGTTTTCACTGATGGCAAGATGTAGAAAACAAGGTGCTTCTCTACAGCGTGTTGTATGACACATCCAGTTGCACTTTTTCTTACCTTGATTCTTATCCAGAATGTCTGGACCTCAGGAATGACAGGAACAGACTGCAAATCAAATGACTCTACCTTGGTACTTTAAGCAAAGGATGCCCAAAAAGAATTTCAAGAAGGGAGTAGGCAACAATGTTAAATACTACAGAGAGATAAAGTAAGATGGGAACTTAAGAGATTCGAGCAGATTCGCAGCAAGATTTAGTGAGCTAAAATTGTCTCCTTAATAATGGGAGGGTTTTTTTTATACACATGGTCCTAAATGTAAAATATATAAAAGTATACAATGAATAGCCTCCAGGCCTGCCTCCCATCTGTGCATCCCAGGCATCTATTCCCTTTCCAGGAAAATAATTTATCAGTGTATTGGGTATCCTTCCTGAGATACTCTATACATATATTAAGTATATATACTCTTTTTCTTTTTTACACATATGGTACCACACCATATCCAGTGTTCTGCACCTTTTCACTTTTTAAATTGAACAATACATTTGTAGTCTTAGAGTTATACATCCCATAACACTAAGAAAGAGTTTCCTCACTGCTTTTGGCAGCTGCACAGGGTTCCATGGTACAGATGTGTTGTAATTTATTTAATGAAGGTTTTTTTTGTTGTTGTTGTTTGTTTGTTTTTGAGGCGGAGTCTCGCTCTGTTGCCTAGGCTGGAGTTTAGTGGCACGATCTCGGCTCACTGCAACCTCCGACTCCCAGGTTTGAGTGATTCTCCTGCCTCAGCCTCCTGAGTAGCTGGGACTACAGGCATGTGCCACCATGCCCAGCTAATTTTTGTGTTTTTTTGTTTTGTTTTAATGGAGACGGGGTTTTGCCATGTTGGCCAGGCTGGTCTCGAACTCCTGACCTCAGGTGATCTGCCCATCTCAGCCTCCCAAAGTGCTGGGATTACAGGTGTGAGCCACTGCGCCCAGCTGTGAAGGTATGTTTTGAACTGATGCTGAAAAAGCACCAATATCTAGAAAAGATGCTGGAAATGGCATCTTTCTCTTTCAAGGACAGCTCTATTCATTCCCTCAGGGTTTGGCAAGATAGCTCTCTGGAGAAGCAGATAGGGCTGAGGACCATTTGTGCACTAAGGGTTACCTGTCCTAGGTCTAACTGCTCCTAATAATTAGATTACTGCTGAGGGGTTTTCTTACATCCTACAACCTTACATTATGATTTAGAAACTTCAGTTATGAAAATGGCACCTCTTTTTATATATCAGTCAGAAGCAGCTATGATATGGGCTCCAGTCTTTTGGGAAATGAGGCAAGTTATAAACCTGTCTTTTCTTCTTTGTAATTCTAGCATCCCTAGAGTATCTTGCACATAAGAGGCATTTAATGAATATTTGTTTACTTGAATGAATGAATGAATGAGGCCATATGGCCACACTGGATTTTTGAAGTAGTCAACAAATGAGGGTTTGTGACTAGAATCTGTCCTCATTTATCACCTGTTCTTCCATCAAACATTTGCTTTAAGTACCAGTGTCTGCTAATTAATCTTGGGTATTAAGCAGACATATACCTTGACAAGTCATCAGGCTGAAATAATTTGGTGGGAGTATTTCTAAGTCACTCAGTTTTCTGCCCTCAAACTCCTCGTTTCAAATGGAAGAGGTTCTAGATTTGGATCTCACCAGTTCAGATTCCACCACTCACTAACTGAAGGACCTTGGGCAGTGGCTGAATTCTGGACTTGCGTTTCCTCATCTGTAAAGCAGCCATAGTGTTATACATTTTCCTGGGATTTTTATTAGGATTAAATGAGCTAACATACAGAGCACCTAACAAAGCCCCTGAGGGATGACAGAAGCGCAAACTGTTAACTTCCTCTTCTTTGTAATTTCCTTCTGCCTCTTACAAGAGGTGACCCATGTGATTGATCATTGCTGATTCTTGGTATATGTTAACTTACAAATTACAAGTTTAGGCCGGGTGTGGTGGCTCACACCTGTAATTCCAGCACTTTGGGAGGCTGAAGTGTGAGGGTCACTTGAGCCCAGGAGTTCAAGACTAGCCTGGGCAACATGTCAAAACCCTGTCTCAAAAAATAAAAAAAATTAGCCGGGCATCGTGGTGCATGCCTGTAGTCCCAGCTACATGGGAGGATAGCTTGAGTCTGGGAGGTCGAGGCTGCAGTGAGCTGTTATTGCACCACTGCACTCCAGCATGGGCAACAGAGTGAGACCCTATTCTCCACCCCAACCAACCCCAAATTACAAGTTTATAAATCAGCTTTCTGTAAGTTTGTTTGCAATCTTAGAATATTAATGATAGTGGGGCATTTGAGGATTATCTAATCCAAGGTAAAGTAGGGGATACATGATTAGAAATTCATTTGTGTATGAATTACACAATATGAACTGTATAATTTTAAAAATTAACAGAATTAATATTCAAAACACATTTTCACAGCGTGATACAAAAGGTAGTCCAAAACCAACTTAATTTTTACCTGAGGAAGGTTCATAGTTATAGGCCTAGTGTACGTAATTGGTCAAATATAATAAAAATCAAAGAGACTTCTGGGAGTTCTTGAACTGTGGTTTTTATTCTGTGGGTACATCTCAATTCTGAATCTGTGTCTATGTCACTAATGTGCTTTGGCATCAGATAGCAGTTCTGTGAAAGAGGATGTGTTTTCTCAGAACCAGTTAGACTGATTATTGTCCAGGGTTTGGCAATTATCTCATGACTTGTTGTTTTGCAAATGAAAATCCTTTCAAACTTTCTTAATCCAAAAAGGGGATTTATTGATGGGTAATTGAAAGAGCTGTAGGTCAGTTTTTGTCACTAAAACGGTAGTGACCTGAGCTGTAGGTCAGGTATAGTTTTGTCACTAAAAACTTACAGTTTTTAGTGACAAAATATATTTAGGAGCTATTTTTGTTTAAAAAGTTAATTTTTGATTCATTAAAACTAAACTGAAAAAACTCAGTTCTTCATAGGCAAAGTTCAATTTATAAACATTCTACTAACATACTTAGCAAATTTTTCATCTTAGATAATTTTTCAATTTCTGGGAGTTCAACTTGGGTCTTATATGTTCTACATTTCTATTTTTAAATGCTCACATTTTTCTGCCTTGAATAAATGGAATCTATTTATAATACTTAAAGTCCTTATTGACAAGTAATCCTAACATCTGTGACATTTCTGGATCTGTTTCTATTGAGAATTTTTCCTTTTATTATGGGTTTGATTGCCCTGTTTCTTATTTGGTAAGTTTTAATTTGGTTCCAGACATTGTGACGTTTACCTTGTTGGGTGATAAGATATTTTTATATTCCTTTATTCTTGAGCTTTCTGGGACATGGTTAAGTTACTTGGAAACAGTTTGATCTTTTTGTGTCTTGCTTTCAAGATTGTTAGGTGGGAATAGAATAGTATTTAGTTTAGGTCTAATTTTTCCCATTACTGAGGCAAAACTCTTTTGAGTCCTCTGCCGAATACCCCATGAGTTGAGAAGCTTTCCACTCTGGCTGGTGGGAGCAGACACTATTCCTGGCCCCACAAGAGCACAGAGGGTTGTTTGCTTCTCTTTCATCCTTTTGTGGGGTTCTTTCTTTGGCCTTTGGTAGTTTCCTCACACACAGGCACTGATGAGCTGAATACTCAAGGGGGAACTTCTACACATCTCTGGAGCTCTCTTCTGGGGTCCCTCTCTTCTTCTCTCTGGTACTCTGCCCTGTGAATTCTAGCTTCCTTGACCTCCCTGGATGCCCCACTCTGTCCCTTCCATTCAGGGAGACTCTGGGCTAGCCTTGCCTGTGCTGCAGCCTGAAAAACCTCTCCAGGAAGAGAGCGGGGGAAATCACAGGGTTCACTTTGTTTCTCCTCTCTGGGGGATCACTGTCCTATGCTTCCAGATGTCCATCATCTAAAAACCATTGTTTCTTATTTTTGTTTGCCTGTCTTTGGCTCTTTTAGGATATTTAAATCATCTATTGGATTTTGCGTCTGTCTCAAGGTTTTCTTTGCCTCTGTGGCTGCAACTCTCAGGTTACACTAATGGATAGACCCAGGGTGTTCAAATGATGTCACTAGGACATCTCTGGGCTCCACATTCTCAGGCTTGTTGGGGTGATATCCACAGCCTCATGTTTAAGGCCCTCCAGTTTAAGTTTAGCAGAAGAGAGAGTGGCCCTCTTGTGCCTCATAAGCAGTGACCTCAGCAGGAGCCTAATTACCTCTTATTTGCTGGGTTTGGTTACATATCTATCCCCTAACCAATTACTGTTGTCAGGAATGGCATCAGCTTCACCTGAGACAAGTGGATGAAAGTGGGGAAAGAAAGATCGGGATGACAAAAATCAGGGATAATGATGCTGGCAGGTAAATTCCACATACTGTTATTACAGTCAGCCATCATCCCAGGAGGTCCCAGAGTTCGCATCACTGTCTCTGCATTCTTAGGGTACCATGCCATCTTAGTACATACAGCTTGCTTTAGTGCAATCAGCTGTTCCTTTTGAAGTTGAGCCACATTGATGGGCTGATGCTTGAGAATCTAAAAACATCCTGAGGTTTCCACTGTAAAAGCATCTACAGATATTTAAAGACTGATACATACTCACCAACATCCAGGAATCTCTTCGGGTATCAGTTTTTGAAATCCTACAATTCTGTTGAGCCCGGGGCAATTCATCAAATTCAAGTTGAACAGTACCTAGTTGTCTCTGCTTAATGCATGTTTATTTTGATGTGGTCACTTGAAGAAATCAGAAATCCAGTTTCTAATTTTCTTGATACACATATTAGTACAGTCTCCTCAGCCCCTGGAGTCAGGTTGTCCCATGCCTTATGATTAAAACAAACAACAACAACAAAAAAACGGAAAACAAAACCTCAAAAAAATTCACCAAGTGTCCACAGACTGATCTGGATGCATTTAAGTGAATTCAATTCTTTACATCCTGCTTCAGCTTCTTTTGACTAGTACTTAAAGATTGAAAACTTTAAAGGTATTAGTTGAAAATTCACAATTTTGAACACACCAGGATGTGAGTCTGACTTGCAGGTTGTCACTATATAAAAACTACCTGATCAGTGATGAAATGGATGTTTCTGTTTTAAGACAAACTTATGTTTTGACTTGTATTTCCTCTCAGCCCTTTTTTCTTTACCTTTTTTTTTTTTCTTTTTCTTGAGATGGAGTCTCGCTGTGTCACCCAGGCTGGAGTGCAGTGGTGCAATCTCGGCTCACTGCAAGCTCTGCCTCCCAGGTTCACACCATTCTCCTGCCTCAGCCTCCTGAGTAGCTGGGACTACAGGCGCCCGCCACCACGCCTGGCTAATTTTTTTGTATTTTTAGTAGAGACGGGGTTTCACCGTGTTAGCCAGGATAGTCTCGATCTCCTGACCTCGTGATCTGCCCGCCTCGGCCTCCCAAAGTGCTGGGATTACAAGCGTGAGCCACTGCGCCCGGCCTTTTCTTTACCTTTTTTACCCCACCACACAGCCCCATTTTATGCCAAGTGAATTGGCCTTTCCCATGTTTGTGCCAAAATTACTCAAATTTTTTCCAGCAGTATCTAAGCCTGCTCGTCCCTGTGGGAGAGCTCATTAGATAAGGTGCTCATGTTGTTGAACATCCTGAGCCGGCTGGTTCAGGTGGGCTGCATTGCCTCCACGGCCCTGTCAGATGCTCCTAGTCTGTGTAACTGTCGTTGCACACAGGAGGAAGCAGAGAGGTAAAGTGACCAGCTTGGGTTGATTGGTGAGCAGAAGCCCCTCAAGGCGCTCAGCCTCCTGCCTCCCCAGCCAGGGAATTCTGAGCAGTGGAAAGGGGATGGATTTGGAGCAGACAGATGCGCATTTGCTCTTTGGCTCACGATGTACCAGCTATGACCTTGAGCACGGTACTTATCCTCTCTGAGCTTGTTTCCATCTCTAGAATTGGAGCTGTAACACCTATGTGGCAGTGCTGTTGTGAGGATTAATTGATGTAATTTTGGGAATCTCCTGGTGGAGGAGTTCCCTTTCTTACTGCTCTCCACCCTGCTCTGAGTGTTCTCAAGGAAGGGATCGGTTCCTCTGAGGAGAGTCACCCTTTGGAAGGCAGATCAAACTGGCTTCTGAATTAGCCAAACTGTGGGCTTGCTGGTACAGCACTGCTGAGCTGCCCAGCCTGAGCGAGCAGGCAGTGTTGTGGATGGCCATGCTGGATGACCCATGCCAGGACAGATAGGGCTTAGCTGTAGACAGTTTGAGAAAGGATAGGGCGGCCGGGTGCGGTGGCTCACGCCTGTAATCCCAGCACTTTCGGAGGCCGAGGCAGGTGGATCACCTGAGGTCAGAAGTTCGAGACCAGCCTGGTCAACCTGGTGAAACCCTGTCTCCACTAAAAATACAAAAATTAGCTGGGCATGGTGGTAGGTGCCTGTAATCCCAGCTACTTGGGAGGCTGAGGCAGGAGAATCACTTGAACCCGGGAGGCGGAGGGTAGAGTGAGCCAAGATTGCTCCATTGTACTCCAGGCTGGGCGACCGAGTGAGACTCTGTCTCAAAAAATAAAATAAAATAAAATAAAGCCTAGGGCTTCCCCATAAAGATATTTTAAGGATCAAGAATTTTTATAGGTCCCATGAAAAAGTTTTGCTCTCAGAACCTTGGCAATGACCTTCTTTATATCTACAAGACAAAGTGTTTATATGAACTTAAGACAACCTTGCAAAAAATCCTATATATTCATTAATAAGGCTCTTTCTTTCTTTCTTTAGACAGAGTCTCGCTCTGTCCTCCAGGCTGGAGTGCAGTGGTGCAATCTCGACTCACTGTAATCTCCGCCTGCTGGATTCAAGCAATTCTCCTTCCTCAGCCTCCTGAGTAGCTGGGATTACAGGCATGTACCACCACGCCCGGCTAATTTTTGTATTTTTAGTAGAGATGGGTTTTCTCCATGTTGGTGAGGCTGGTCTCAAACTCCTGACCTCAAGTGATCTGCCTGCCTCGGCCTCCCAAAGTGATGGGATTACAGGCGTGAGCCACCACGCCTGGCCCATTAATAAGGCTATTTCTTTCCAACTTATTTTTAAATGCAAAGACTACATGAAAAGAGACCATCTTCTTTGTATAGTTTTTGTATAGTTTCTACCTGATAAAATATTTCTGAACAAATGTTAAATAGTTCAAGTAGGACTTCTCCATTTCTAAGGAAACAGGGACATTATCTCCTCTGTAGCTTAACTTCTCAACCTTGTCTTCAAACAATGTTCTCTCCTGGAGTCCTGGGCACCAACTGCTTTGATGGCTTTGGCAGATGACGTGGCCTCTGCTTTGCTAGGCAAGGTCGGGTGTATGTGACCCCTACACTTCTTTCCACTTTGAGGTAGCTCCTTCCCTTCTTTTCCTGTCCCTGTTTCATTCAGCTAAAGTGCGCGCAGCACTGGCCAGACTCCTCTTCCTCAGGGAATATGCCTGGCCAGAAGCTGTCTCCTGGCCCAAAGTCACACCTGCTTCCTGGGGACAGCCTGTATCAGTGACTACTTGGCAAGGGGTATGAAGTACCGACCTCTTCACTCCAACTCAGGATGAGTCAGAAAGGCCATCCTAGCTCTGAAGCTTCCTCTTGGAGGGCTGGGCCTTTGCTGCCTACTCCTGCTTCTATCCCTTCTGCCATGCGTGTTAGTCCCGATCATCTTCCTCATGCCAATAACCTTCCCTAATAAATAGCCTTCCTGTATGCTAAATGTGGTCTGAGTCTGCCTTCTGGGGGCCTAACCTGTGACAACCACGTTCCACATTTCTGTTATTGATTTATTTTAAAACTTAAGTAAATTTAAAATTTATTGAGACCTTTTTAAAGGTTCAGAATATGGTATACTTTAGTAAATGTTCTGAAAGAACTTGAAAAGTGTGTGTATGCTGCTGTTTTAGGGGCGGAGTGTTATAAAGACATTATCGTGGATTATTTAGGTGGACCCAGTGTAACCATGTGGATCCTTTAAATGTAGAAGAGACAGGCAGAAAAATCGCTGTCAGAATGCTACCTGTGTGTATTAGTCCATTCTCGTGCCGCTAATAAAGATATACCCAAGACTAGGTAATTTATAAACGAAAGAAGTTTAATGGACTCACAGTTCCGCATGGCTGGGGAGGCCTCACAATCATGGTGGAAGGCAAAGGAAGAACAAAGGCATGTCTTACATGGTGGCAGGCAAGAGAGCTTGTGCAGGGGGACTCCTGTTTGTAAAACTATCAGATCTCATGAGGCTTATTCACTACCAAGGGAATAGCATGGGAAAAACCCACTCCCATGATTCAGTTACCTTCCACCGGGTAACTTCCATGACATGTGGGCATTATGGGAGCTACAATTCAAGATGAGATTTGGGTGGGGACACGACCAAACAAATATCATTGTGAGAAAGACTTGACTGGCCATCACTGGCTCACAACATGGAGAAGACAAGCATCAAACTGTTTCCAAGTAACTTAACTACATCCCAGACCAAAGCTTGAGAATAACTGTGGGAATACGAAAATAGCCAGCACCCAACAGGTACAATTTGCATTTAAAATCAATCTAATCAATACTTCCCAGGAATGCAAAATGCCACCCTTTCTGGATTTTGGCCCAGTGAGAACCATTTTGGGCTTCTTACCCCTAGAACTGTAAGGTAATATATTTGTGGTATTTTAAGCCACTACATTTGTGATAATTTGTTATAGCACCAATAGAAGACTAATACAGATATTGTAGGTTTTGTCTTTAGAAGTTTGATTTGGGTCTTTGTTGTATGTTTCATGCCTCTACTCAAAAAGGTCAGTCTTCCCCTAACTTCTTGAACATATGAAATAGCTATAATAAATACTTTACTATCCTCATCTACTAATTATAGCATCTGTGATGTTTTTGGTTAAGTTTAAATTGATTTTTTAATCCTCATTATGTTTTGTGTTTGCCTGTTGCTTTGCATTCCTGGTAAGTTTTGATTAGATTTTAAATGCAAATTTTACCTTGTTGGGTGCTGGATATTTTTGTATTGCTATAGTTATTCTTGAGATTTAGTCTGGGATATAGTTCAGTTACTTGGAAACAGTTTGATGCTTTTGGGCATTGCTTTCAAGCTTTGTTAGGCAGGACCAGAACAGTGCTTAGACTAAGGTTATTTTTTCCTCGCTACTAAGGCAAAATATTTGTGAGTTTTTAAATGCGATTCTCTGGGAATTATGCATTTTTATATTCTGGTTGGTTCCTGGTCCGTCTGAGGACTATTCCTTCTAATGCTTTTGGGTGGTTCTTCTCCCAGCCTCAGGTAGCTTCTTCACTTGCACATGTCGAGCTGTAACAGAGGAGAACCCTCTGCTGAGCTTGAGTTCTCTATGCAGCGCTCTCCTTTCTGGTACTCCATCTTGAAAACTATAGCCCTCTTGGTCACCTTGGACTCCCAGAACTGCCGCCTCAACTAGAGGAGACAAGGGGTCTCCACCTGGGTTCGCCCTTCTGGCACCGCTGTCCAGAACCTTTCTCCAGGCAATAAGCCGAGGCAATCTAAGGACGCTCGCATTTTTTTCCTGTCTCTCAGGGATCACAGTCCTTGTTGTTGATGTCCAATGTGTTAAGAACTTTTGCTGCGTGTATTCTGTCCAGTTTTAAAGTTGTTTCTGATGGGAGGTTAAACCTGGCAAATATGACTCCATCTTGGAAGAAAGTGGTGGTTTCATTTTTTAATATGAAGTAGTTTCATTTTACTTATATGATGTCTACAAGATGAGTAGTAATGTCCCTTTTTTCATTCCTAGTATTGGAGTTTTGTGTCTTTTCATTTTCTTTTTTTTTTTTTTTCTTCCATCTGTTTTGCCAGAAGTTTGTTCTTCTGTATATCAGCTTGGGCTGCCATGACAAGATACTGTAGACTCGGTTGCTAAAAGAACAGACATTTATTTTCTCACAGTTCAGAGGCTGGAAGTCTAAGATCAAGGTGCTCTCAGGGCTGGTTCCCAGTGAAGTCTCTTGGTGGCTTGTAGATATCCACCTTCTTGCTGGGTCCTCATGCAGCCTTTCTTCTGTGCACATGTGGAGAGAGGGAGAGGTGTCTGGTGTCTCTTTCTCCTCTTAGAAGGACACCAGTCCTATTGGATTAGCGCCTCATCTTTATGACCTCACTTAACCTTAATTACCACCTAAAGCCCTATCTGTAAGTAAATGTAGTCACATTGGAGATTAAAGCTTCAGCATGTGAATATGCCAGGGGGTGGGGGTGGTAACACAATTTAGTCCTTAACATTCTCTATCACGTTGGATTCTGACTCATTAATTTCTGCTTTGTTATTTCATTTTACTACCTTTTTCTTGTTGATTTTATTATTTTTCTAACTTCTTGTGATGGATGCTTAGTTTATCAATTTTAACCTTAATTTTTATAATTTGTTTTTGAACTCTAAATGGGCCTTAAAATTCTGTAGTTGTATCAACACGTTTTAATATGTAGTATTTTTGTGGTTGTTCAACTTATTCATTTTAAAATATTTCCTAATTTATAACTTATTGGGTTAATTAGAACTGTGTCTCAACTAAGCCCAGTGTGGGCTTTTGAATTGAAAGTCTGTTATTGATTTCTAACTTACATTGTGATTCAGATATGCTCAAAATGATTTCAGCCATTTGGCTTGCTTCATGGTAAGATCAGATTTTAAAAATATTCCATACCTGCTTCAGAAGATTATATGTTCTGTAATTGTTGAGTACAGGTTCACTGTAGTCAATTAGCAACGTTTGTTAATTGTACTTTCAAATATTTTACATCTTTATTTTTTCCTGTTTGTGAATGCCATGTAAGAATCTCCCAGTATAATTATAAAGTTATTGATGTAAAATACACATAAAATGTATTTTAAAGTTTACAATTCAGTGTATTACATATATTCACAATGTGTAACCATCACCACTATCTAATTCCAAAACTTTTTCATCACCCCAAATGAAACATCGTACCCATTAAGCAGTCACTCCCCACCCTCTATTCCCCTAACCCCTGCAACCACAAATCTGCTTCCTGTCTTTATGCATTTGCCTGTTCTGGACATTTCATATAAAGGGAGTAATACAATATGTAGCTTTTATGTCTAGTTTCTTTCACTCCGCGTAATGCTTTCAAGATTCAACTATGTTGTAGCGTGTATCAGTACTTCACTCTCTTTTATGGCTGAAAAATATTCCATTGAATGAATATATCACATTTATTTATTCAATGATGGATATTTGGGTTGTTTCCACCTTTTGGCTATTGTGCATAATACGTTGGTGTACAAGATTTGTTCAGTCATTTTCAGTTCTTTTGAGAAGATATCTAGCAATAGAATTGCTGGGTTATACAGTGTGATACTGTGATTTGTAATAACACATATAGATTTGGTCTTTGTTCCCAATTCCTGGCACACAGGTGCAGAAACCCTTGTAATAGCCAAAGTAATGTCTTTTTGTAAGGTTATGAGATGCCTGATAGCTGGGGGCTCCTTGATAGCCACAGGACGGAGGCTGGTTGCTAGGGGAACTCACCATGTGATTAGAGGGTTGGAACTTTCAGTCCTATCCTTTGATCTCCAAGGATAGAAGAGAACACATGGACACAGGAAGGGGAACATCACACTCTGGGGACTGTTGTGGGGTGGGGGGAGGGGGGAGGGATAGCATTGGGAGATATACCTAATGCTAGATGACGAGTTAGTGGGTGCAGCGCACCAGCGTGGCACATGTATACATATGTAACTAACCTGCACAATGTGCACATGTACCCTAAAACTTAAAGTATAATAATAATAAATAAATAAATAAATAAAAAGAAGAGGGACTGAAAGTTGAGTTGATGAGCAATGGCCAGTGATTTAATCAGTCCTGCCTGTTAATGAAGTCTCCATTAAAAACCCACAAGTACAGAGTTTCAAGAGCTTCTGGGTTGCTGAACATGGGGAGGTAGCTGGAAGGGTGGTGCCCCACACAGGACACGGAAGCTCCACACCCCTTCCCGTATACCTCCCATAGCCCGGGAGGTTAAGGCTGCAGTGAGCTGTAATCATGCCACTGTACTCCAGGCTGGGCGACAGAGCAAGCCCCTGTCTCATACATACATACATACATACATACATACATACATACATACATATGTACATATATACAAACACATAAAGTTAATGAGTACTTAACAGATGGCAAAATGGGTTTATCTGTTTTAAAAAATTATTAGATATCATCTCAAGTGTTATCACTGCCACATTTTATCCAATCAAGGACCTTATGACACTGTCTGGCCAAACCTGTGGTTGGTTACCCCAAAAGTAGTGGCAGTTAAATTGTTGCAAGTGACTACCCCCAACTGTTCTGAGATGGCGCTGGTTGGGATTCCAAAATCAGTCCAAAACATTTATTAGGGAACTTACAGGGTGCTAGAATGGTACTTGTGATGGAGTAAGAAAAAAAAGATGTTCTACGATGTCTGCAACAAGGGGATTGGGATATGGAGTTTATGTGGGGTTTAAGGAATACAGCTGAGAGCCAGGGCTAGCTTCTACATTTTATCTTAAGAGTGTTTTGGGCAGCAATATAAAAAAACTTATCAGTGCCTGGGAATGTCCAAGCTTGTAGGGGAAAACATGAAGCTAGCCAGGTCACACAGTGGCCAAGGCATTTTGTTTGTCCTGTGTCAGGGCAAAGAAAAATTGGGATTTGGGAGATCCTACAGTTTCGGATCATTAAGAGTTCTTCCAGTGCTCGCTTCGGCAGCACATATACTAAAAAAAAAAAAGAGTTCTTCCAGTTTGTGTTGTGATGTATTTAAATTCTTTTTTTAAAGCCATAAGTTGTTTCAAACAATGTTGTTTTAGTTTTACATAATTTTTATTTTCAATCCTTTTCACACCTGGAATCACTTTACTCCCACGTGAAGTATACACTTTAGACATTCCTTTGGTGAGATTCTGCTGGTGGCAAACTTTTTTTGTCTGTGTGTACTTTGTCCTCTTAAGAGCATTTTGCTAGATATTAACATATAAGTTGGCAGTTCACTTTCATTAGTTTCAAAGATGCCATTCCACAATTTTATGTCTCACGGTTGCACCTGAGAAGTCAGCTCTCTCCTCCTCCTCCCGCCCCCTTCCCTTCCTCCTCCCTCCTTAGAAGTGAATCTTATTTTTCTTGTACTGTTTTTGTTAAGAGTTACTTTTAGTATTCTGCAGTTTCATGATATCAAGGGGTGAACTTTTTTTTATTCTGCTAGGAGGTGTCTATTTTGAAAAATTATTAGGTATCATCTCCTCAAGTGTTATCACTGCCACATTTTATCTCTTTTCTCCTTTGGGAACTCCAGATGACTGTTAGACCTTCCCATTCTTTAAACAAGGTCTTGCTGTTTCCCAGGCTGGAGTGCTGGGACCACAGGCACGTGCCACCAAGCCCGGGTAATTTTATTTTTTGTAGGCGTGGGGGGCTCCCTTTGTTGCCCAGTCTGGTTGACCTTCCCATTATTCATCTATTTTATTTTCCTTTGCTTCCATTATCTCTTTGTGTTACATTGCAGATAATTTCTTTTGCTCCATCTTCTGGTTCAGATTTTCTTCTTAGTCACATTTCATCTGTTGCTAAACTATCCACTGAGTTAAATTTTAGGTATTTTATTTTTAACTTCTAGTTTTTTTCAAATATGCTTTTATATTTTTCTATCCTTTAAGTATTTTCTAACATCTTTTATATCTGTACGCTCACTAAATCTTTCTCCAGTTAATGTTTTCTTTTTTTCTTTTTTTTTGAGACAGAGTTTTGCTCTTGCAGCCCAGGCTGGAGTGCAGTGGTGTGATCTTGGCTCATTGCAACCTCCATCTCCCAGGTTCAACAGATTCTCTTGTCTCAGCCTCCTGAGTAGCTGGGATTACAGGTGCCTGCCACCACGTCCAGCTAATTTTTGTATTTTTAGTGGAGACAGGATTTCACCATGTTGGCCAGGCTGGTCTCGAACTCCTGACCTCAGGCAATCTGCCCGCCTTGGCCTCCCAAAGTGCTGGGATTACAGGCATTAGCCACCGGGCCCGGCCCAGTGTTTTCTTTATAGAAAGGATCTTGAATTTTATACCTAAATTTCATCTTTTTTTCCTCTCTAGCCCTATGTCATAATTTATTGCTTGAAGAGAGAGATTTTTCATGTTTATGTGTGGAATATTTATATTTATGTCTCAAAGACTCAGTATAACAACATTTAAACAAATTAATGTGCAGGGAAAGTCCTGAAATTACATTTCAAATACTATTAGTACACTGTCAGGAGCAGTGTAAAAGTTTTGCAAGCTTGATGAACACTGAATAAAGTAAATGGGTGATGCACATTGCTGGCACTAAGAGAGGAAATATCGTATTTGGTGTGAGCTATTCTCTGCCATTTTGTGTTTGTCCTGAACACATTTCCACAGTGCTTTTTTTTAACAGCCAAGGTTAGTATTTGATTACATTTGCTATAACATTTTTTTCTAGGCTATAATTACTGGTGTCATCAAACTTTAGTACCCTGATTACTTGTGTCTGTATTAAGTTAAAAAAATATAATCTGGACCCTGACTAGAGATTCTTTCTTTCAGCTCATACCCCAGTGAGGTAGAGAGGCTTACTGTTTGGGGATTGTGTTCTTTCTAGGATCCTTTTTTAGGGATATGACTTTAACTAGCTGGCTGCATAGGATAAACGTTACTTATGTTACTTACAAAAACTGCTTGATGTATTCTCAGTCCTTCCATTCCACCACACACTTTTGTCTCAGGAATAAGTCAGTCAGATTAACAGACCCCTACCTATCTAGAATTATTTTTCTTGACCTGTGAATCTTGTATGTATTGTCAGTAACATTACAGATTCCTGTTGATATGAGGCTCATTAGGAGGGAAGGCTCCCTGGCCTTTATAATAGGAAGTGTTTATTTTTCTTCCCTTTCAAGCAATTGGCTTGCTTTTTATCTTACAGACGTACTGAACGGTATGACTGATCAATACTTCTTGTCAGTACTGCATACCAAAGAAGCTTGGAATCAAGTTTAACACTAACTTTTACGTATTATTTACAACTTTATGAGATGACTGTTTTGTATTTGTCCATTCCAAATCATGTTAGTGTTGCCTTGATCACCATTACATGAAGGAGGGACTTTATGTGATAAAATATACATAGGTGTGCCAGAAGAAGGGAACTTAAAGTGGCTTAAAATCTCCATCTAAAATCTATAGGCAACATGGATACCCAACAAACTATGAGAAAGTAGTTGTATAATTAAAATGCATACAAGTAGGGGACTCACGAACCAATCAAATAAAATTTAAATATGATAACCTTAAAATGTCACCAGCTTCAATCATAACCTATTAGTTATTATATTAGTACTTTCTGATTTATCAGAGAAAATGAACAATGTTGAAATTTTATTTCTGAAATGTTTCTTTTAATCAATACATATTAAGTATATAATTTCCTTAAAAATTAACAAATAACTCTGATTTTCACTGTTAGGACACTGTTACAGAGAAGGAAACATATTGCTCTTCTAACTTTTCTTCTTTTTACATTTATCCACATTCCAAGTAGATTATCATAGTAAGGTTCTTCTGTGTTACTTTTGTCCAAGTTGTGACAACTAAAACAAAACACAAAATCATACATAAAACTTTTAAAAAAGATCATAAAAGAAACATTCAAACATATTTGTAAACCCCTTAATAAATTACACTTCCTATTTTATTCACTGCATTCCTAGAATAATAAATCTTAATGTTCACCACTAACTCAAATGTTAAAACTGAAGGCTGGTCATGGTGGCTCATGCCTGTAATCCTAGCTATTTGGGAGGCTGAGGTGGGAGGATCACTTGAGGCCAGGAGTTTGAGACCAGCCTTGGCAACATAGCAAGAGACTGTCTCTACCAAGAAAAAGAAAAGAAAATGGAATTGCAATAAACGTCGTCATAGTAAAGAAATGTAAACATTATTAGGTAACGTTCAATTGATGGAAAAGAAAAACCCTGGGAATTAAAAAAATTAGTGCTAACTTTGTGACAATATAAAGAGAAATGTCATGAGTGACACACTACTGACAGTTCTCATATATTTTTGTATTTCTAAAGGATCATTAAAAGCCAAAGAAAAGGCTTTCAGTTCTGGAAGGATGGGCAAACTCCTACTGGAAACATTATTACTTATCAAGGTTTTCTTAGTCGTCCATGAAAACACCTTATCTTGGTATAGCTGGATGGCTTTGGTTTCGGCTGGTTCAGGTGAGTAAGTGGTTTTCTTTCTCTCTTTTGAAAAATACCAATAGCAACTAGGGGTATGTTAACAGAAACAAACAACAAATGTATACTTTACCTGTTTTATGAACTGTGTAGCATTAAAAAGCTCACTGCAGCCATATAAAATGTGTTTGCCTTGTTTCCCCTGTAAAAATCAGAGTCAGAACTTAGATACAAGTAACAAGAAATATATTCAATATTCCCAAGAAAAGAGATTAATATGCTAGTTTTTTTGTTATTCTTAACAGTCTTTCTTTGGGATACTGTTGGATTTTAGTATACACATCTACCTAAAATTGCATGAAATAAAGAGGAATAAAGTGGTGAAATGAGCATAGTATTTTTGTCCCCCAAAATATATACTATGGCATACTATTGGTGCCATTTCCTATTACACTAAAAATAGAAGGAATCTCACTGTCAAATTTCACAGGAGCAACAGTTACCTATAAAATCTTAGAACAACATTCTTCCAATGTAGGATGTGTACTACTTGAAGAATACATTCGAGTTTCTTTATGCTGAAAGTGGGCTATGGTGCAGGTGGCATGGATTGTGCTTTTAGTCTCACTTGAGCAACACAGTATTTATAAGTTAATACATCTCATTCCACATTGTCAACATCAGGAATAAAAGTCACAGTTACAATGTTGGAACCCAATCACAACAGCCAAAACTTCTCTATTAGCGATTTGCTAATTTCTTGTATGTATCGTGAACCTGAAGGTAAATTCATGAGATTTCTTTTGTAATATAAAAAAGTTTATTCTAGAACAAAGTAATTTGAGGATTCATCAAAGGACAGAGGAATGATGGCTTTGTAACACAACTCTGTGATGTATAAGCTGAGCAAATATTGTTGGCTGAATACATGTCCTAGATGGCCATCTCTGAGAATAAATAAAACAAAAGCCACAACTCATATTTTTTTCAAAATGAGATGGTATATGGGTCATATAATTGGGATTCTTGTGGCTAACAGGCATTAATTAAAGGTAGAGGTCACAGTATGCAAGGAGAAAGCAGGCACAGGGAAACATTAGAGGGGTCCAGAACTTCTAGGCATAGCTCCCAGGAGAACCTGATTCTTGTTCAAGGAGAGGTCTTTTATGCCTCTCTGGTCAGGTAGGCAAAATTGGGCTGCATGACCAGCATGACCAGGCTCAACTGCAGAAACCAAGGGAACATGACAGAAACCAGGTGAAAAATGTAAAATCAATCTTTACATTTTCTATTAAACAATGCTGGCAAGCCAGCCCAAGGTTGCCCCCTGGTTTATCGTAGTCTCTAGCCCAGGCCCAGAATTCATCACTAGTTAATACTTCATTCAGGTTTGGCTAAACATCAGCACCATGGATCCTGGTATTCTTGGAGATAAGCACAGGGGTACAGTAGCCCAGTTGAGATTAATCCTGACTTGTACAGTCCCCACCCTGGACCAAGCTTTCTTAACCAAATTACTCATCATCATTCTTTTCTAATCGTTTTTAGCCATCCAATGAAGTGTAGGTGTAATTTTAAAGAAACACTGTAGTTTACCAAACATTCCAGTGCAAACTTGTTCTTAATCATGTACAAGCTTGATGACCCCTTTACTTACTCTGTCAGTTAAAAATTGAACTTTATGGGCTGGGCGCAGTGGCTCATGCCTGTAATCTCAGCACTTTGGGAGGCCGAGGCAAGTGGATCACAAGGTCAGGAGTTCGAGACCAGCCTGGCCAGCATGGTGAAACCCCATCTCTACTAAAAATACAAAAATTAGCCAGGTGTGGTGGCGCATGCCTGTAATCCCAGCTACCCAGGAGGCTAAGGCAGGAGAACTGATTGATTGAACTCGGGAGGCAGAGGTTGCAGTGAGCCAAGACTGCGCCACTGCACTCCAGCCTGGGTGAGAGAATGAGACTCTGTCTCAAAAAAAAAAAAAGAAAAAAAAATCGAACTTTATAAAATGTACCAGTATATTGATTCAATGTAAAATTAACTCAGTGTAGTTCTTTCTCTAACCAATCACCTTCCATCAAGAGAATACCTTGTGGTTTTAAGTCAAGTTCCCAATTCATCAATATTAGTATTATCAAATGTTTTGATAAAATCAGTCAAATTATTTTTTACCAATTATACCAAAGTTATACCAAATAGCATTTACATTGTGAGTTAGATTAACAACATTACTAAATAAATCAGAATTACAGCAGTATTTTCTGGCACTTGCCCCTTATGTTGTGGACTAGTATAAACCAAGGGCCATGTTAGTTAATTCTGTATTGCCAGTCTCATGTAGGCATAGTCGCATGTTTAGTTTCATACTACGAGACTGTACTGACACAGGTTTCTAATGATGTGAGGAAGGCTGTCATAGACCTAGCTCAGTTCCTTCTTAATAGGGCTGAATGGTAGGGAAAAGATTAGGATTATTCAGGACAAAAAAACTAAAAGGGATTTAAAAATCCTCTCAGGACAATAAACTGGGGAGCTTAGTAGCTACTAAAAATTTAATGGATCTAAAGGGCATCTATGAATAATGTAATAAAATATATAATGGTCAAAGACTAGATGCTTTGCCCGTATGATGAGAAAGAAGACAAGGATGTCTGCTCTTGCCTCTTCTATTCAACAATGTACTGAAGGTTCTAGCCAGGGCAGTTGCAGAAGATAGAAAAGAAGCAAAACTATCTCTATTAATAGATAACATGATCTTGTATATAGAAACTTCTAAAAATCCATTAAAAACAATTGGAACTAATAAACTCAGCAAGGCTGTGAAACGTAAGATCAACATAAAAATCGGTTGGATTTTTATGCACTTGGAATGAGGAATCCAAAAATGAACTTAAGAAAATGCCTTTTGTCTTTGACAAAATTCAACAGCCCTTCATGCTAAAAACTCTCAATGAATTAGGTATTGATGGGACGTATCTCAAAATAATAAGAGCTATTTATGACAAGCCCACAGCCAATATCATACTGAATGGGCAAAAACTGGAAGCATTCCCTTTGAAAACTGGCACAAGACAGGGATGCCCTCTCTCACCTCTCCTATTCAACATAGTGTTGGAAGTTCTGGCCAGGGCAATCAGGCAGGAGAAAGAAATACAGGGTATTCAATTAGGAAAAGAGGAAGTCAAATTGTCCCTGTTTGCAGATGACATGATTGTATATCTAGAAAACCCCATTATCTCAGCCCAAAATCTCCTTAAGCAGATAAGCAACTTCAGCAAAGTCTCAGGATACAAAAATCAATGTGCAAAAATCACAAGCATTCCCAAACATCAATAATAGACAAACAGAGAGCCAAATCATGAGTGAACTCCCATTCACAATTGCTTCAAAGAGAATAAAATACCTAGGAATCCAACTTACAAGGGATGTGAAGGACCTCTTCAAGGAGAACTACAAACCACTGCTCAACGAAGTAAAAGAGGACACAAACAAATGGAAGAACATTCCATGCCCATGGATAGGAAGAATCAATTATCCTGAAAATGGCCATACTGCCCAAGGTAATTTATAGATTCAATGCCATCCCCATCAAGCTACCAATGACTTTCTTCACAGAATTGGAAAAAACTACTTTAAAGTTCATATGGAACCAAAAAAGAGCCTGCATTGCCAAGTCAATCCTAAGCAAAAAGAACAAAGCTGGAGGCATCACACTACCTGACTTCAAACTATACTACAAGGCTACAGTAACCAAAACAGCATGGTACTGGTACCAAAACAGAGATATAGACCAGTGGAACAGAACAGAGCCCTCAGATATAATACCACACATCTACAACCATCTGATCTTTGACAAACCTGACAAAAACAAGAAATGGGGAATGGGTTCCCTATTTAATAAATGGTGCTGGGAAAACTGGCTAGCCATATGTAGAAAGCTGAAACTGGATCCCTTCCTTACACCCTATACAAAAATTAATTCAAGATGGATTAAAGACTTAAATGTTAGACCTAAAACCATAAAAACCCTAGAAGAAAACCTAGGCAATACCATTCAGGACATAGACATGGGCAAGGACTTCATGTCTAAAACACCAAAAGCAATGGCAACAAAAGCCAAAATTGACAAATGGGATCTAACTAAACTAAGGAGCTTCTGCACAGCAAAAGAAACTACCATCAGAGTGAACAGGCAACCTAAAGAATGGGAGAAAATTTTTGCAATCTACTCATCTGACAAAGGGCTAATATCCAGAATCTACAAAGAACTCAACTTTACAAGAAAAAAGCAACCCCATCAAAAAGTGGGCGAAGGATATGAACAGATACTTCTAAAAAGAAGACATTTATGCAGCCAACAGACACATGAAAAAGTGCTCATCATCACTGGCCATCAGAGAAATGCAAATCAAAACCACAATGAGATACATCTCACACCAGTTAGAATGGCAATCATTAAAAAGTCAGGGAACAACAGGTGCTGGAGAGGATGTGGAGAAATAGGAACACTTTTACACTGTTGGTGGGACTGTAAACTAGTTCAACCATTGGGGAAGACAGTGTGGCGATTCCTCAAGGATGTAGAACTAGAAATACCATTTGACCCAGCCATCCCATTACTGGGTATATACCCAAAGGATTATAAATCATGCTGCTATAAAGACACATGCACAGGTATGTTTATTGCGGCACTATTCACAACAGCAAAGACTTGGAACCAACCCAAATGTCCATCAATGATAGACTGGATTAAGAAAATGTGGCACATATACACCATGGAATACTATGCAGCCATAAAAAAGGATGAGTTCATGTCATTTGTAGGGACATAGATGAAGCTGGAAACCATCATTCCCAGCAAACTATAGCAAGAACAAAAAACCAAACACTGCATGTTCTCACTCATAGGTGGGAAATGAACAATGAGAACACTTGGACACAGGAAGGGGAACATCACACACCGGGACCTGTAGTGGGGTAAGGGAAGCGGGGAGAGAAAGCATTAGGAGATATACCTAACGTAAACGATGAGTTAATGGGCGCAGCACACCAACATGGCACATTTATACACATGTAACAAACCTGCACGTTGTGCACACGCACCCTAGAACTTAAAAAAAAAAAATGCCTTTCGTAACAGCATAAAAATATACTCTGAAGACTACAAAATATTATTGAAAGAAATTAAAGATATAAAAGGAAAACATCCCCTATTCATGGACCAGAAGCCTTAATTAACATTAAGATGAAAATACTCCCCAAACTGATCCAGAGATTTAACACAGTCTTTGTAGACATTTGCAAATTCTAAAATTCATAAAAAATTGCAAAAGACCCAGAAAAGCCTAAACAATAAAGTAGGACTCACATGTGTCCTGATTTCAAAAACATACTAAGGAAGCCATGATGATCAACACAGTGTAATACTGGTGCAAGAAAAGACCTATAGATCCAAATAATGGAATTGAGAGTTCAGAAATAAACCCATACACATCAAGTGATTTTCAACAAGGTTGCCAAAAAACCATTACATGGGGGAAAGAATAGTCTTTTCAACAGATGGCAGTGGAACAACTGGATATGCAAAAAGATGAAACTGGATCTTCATACCATATTTTAAAATTATACAATTCTTAGAGGAAAACTCAGGGTCAAATCTTTATGACCTTAGATTTGGCAAAGGATTCTTAGATATGCCACGAAAAGCCCAGGCAACAAAAGAAAAAAAGAGATACACTGGACTTCGCCGAAATAAACTTTTGCACTTTAAAAGACACCATCACAAAAAGAGAAAAGACAACCCAGAGAATGGGGGAAAAAATCTGGAAATCATGTATCTGATACGGGATTTGTATCAATATTACATAAAGAATTCTTACAACTCAATCATAAAAAGGCAAAATAACCCAATTAAAAATGGACAAATGGACAAAGGGGCCAGGCGTGGTGGTTCAAGCCTGTAATCCCAACACTCTGGGAGGCCAAGGTGGATGATGGTGGTGTGCACCTGTAATCCCAGTTACTTGGGAGGCTGAGGCAGGAGAATCGCTTGAACCCTGGAGGCAGAGGCTGCAGTGAGCCAAAATTGCGCCACTGCACTCCAGCCTGGGTGACAGAACGAGACTCCGTCTCGGGGGGAAAAAAAAAAAAAAAAAAGGGACAAAGGATCTAAACAGACATTTCTCCAAAGATATACAAATGGCCAATACACATGTGAAAAGATTCTTGACTTCGTAAGTCATCAGGAAAATATAGATAACAAAGCAAGTGTTAGTAATGAAGTGGAGAAGTGAGAACCCTCATGCACTGCTGGGGGGAATGTAAAATGGTGCAGCTGCTTTGGAAAACAGTCTGTAGTTCTTCAAATGATTACAGTTACTAAGTGACGCAACAATTCCACTCTTAGGTATATACCTAAAAGAAGTGAAAACATACATTCACACAGAATTATGGTGGCCATTATCTATGGTTCCACGTGGACAGCAACAGGTCTTGTCTAGAATACACACTCATTTGGATGTGTATACCTGTTAGCTGCAGGAATCACCTTTAACATTATTAGAGGCCGCAGCAGAAACAATTTCAATTTAGACCTCCTACTTATATATCATTTGATAAAGAAACTCACTTTACTGCAGGTGCAGTTCAACAATGTGCTAACAACCATTATCTACCACAGACTAACTTATATACCTTACCAAACACAAAGTATTGGAGCAAATGTTTGAAACACTTTTCAAAGTGGTAATGAGAGACAGAGTTGCATGATGGAATGTGTGTCAAAACATAAAAGGCATGAAATTAAAGGGGGACTCAACACTAAACAGATTATAGAGATACTTCAGGAAAAATAAGGGAGGGGTGGAGTAATAACACAGGAACTGATAACAATTTCCTCCATATTTCTGAACATTTTTCTTTTTCTCTGACTGATCATGTAGAACATGGATATGGATTACATTTACAAGCTCAGGAAGACGGATCAGTTGCAAACATGACATGAAGATAATACCTCTAAATATAACTGTCTGAGGAATGATGGAATGGACTGTTTTTATTTTCACCTATCTAAGCTTGGAATTAATGTTTTTTTTTCATCTTTCCTCACATGTGGACAAGACAGTCCTATAAACTTGTAGTTATCCACCTCAACATCATGTGACTGGGAATGGACAAAGGGGAAAAGCACTGGCCAGTCTCACATTGCTGTCAGCTCCACAGGTAAGTCCTCTTGCCGAATGTGATGGTCTCCTAACTCAGGGATCAAGGTCTGGGTAAAAAACTAACAACAGGAGAAAGGAGGAAAAGTCTTTACTCTCAGAAAGGGAGCCAATAAATGAATAATGCAAAAAAGAAAGGTAACATTATTTTGGTATCTCGTAAGAGCCTGGGAGCAAGAGAATGCTCTTAGCTATATTTACAGATGCCCATAAGACCTGATGAAATTGTCTCCTTTATTTGAAGCTGTCTAAGATGGGTTGCAGGAGATTTAATAATTTAATCTGTAGAATTTTGTCTGAATCTTGATGATGCTAATAACAACATCTTGAGGATAAACACAGAATAATTCTAATGCTTGCCTTTTGGCTCCCATTGGTTTTATCTATTGTAGAGAACCACTTTTGGGAGGCAAAATTAGGACACGTTGTCTCTGAAATGCACACAAACGATTTTGTTGAACAACGAAGTCACAGACCACCACGTAACTATTAAACGCAGTTATGATTTGTTAAGAAAGGTGTCCAGAAACACAGACATAAAATAACTGCTGCATTTCCAACTACTCATAGTAACATGTGCTCTAATGCCTATGTACCTTGTTTCTGTGGGCGGAAGGCACTAAGGTTAAAAAAATTCTTAGTACTGAAACCAAGTAAAGGATAACTAGGTGGGCTTACACACTTATAGCCCTGATCTTTTGCTGAGAATAATTACTACTCATAAGACACTGTCTCGGGGAACTGAAAACTTTTGTCTTCCCTCGCCCGCCATCTCTCAAAAGGTTCCTGAAAGATTTTGGATCCAAAAGGTATATTCAAACTATATTCAAGCAATAAAAACTCAATGGCAACAACTTATTTAATGGTTAAACCAATTTGGGCAGAAACACTGGCACAGTTCTATGAGTCCTATGGTAAGCCCGATTTGCCTTTAATGAAAAGAGACATACTGAGCAAGACGACTTAATGACCTACTGGTTGTTGACAAGAAATGTTATTTCAGGAGGAAGGGAAATGGTGGCAAGCAGCCTGGAAAAATGATAAAACAAACTCAACAGTTACATAAAGATGGGAAGACACATGTACCCAGACTCAAGAAGGATTAAGTACGCTCCTCAATTAAAAGCCAAGGTAGTGCAAGGAAAATGGCCTGGTATCTTGGCAGAGCGAGCAAAAAGAATGAATTTATGGGAAACTTATGGTGCCTCAGTCAATTACAACATTTTGGTATATAAGCAAGAGCTGATTTTGTTGAGAAAGATGAGAAAACATTTAGTAAGCAATCTAAATCATAATGTAATTGCTACTTGGTGCAAATGGTATCATTGGTGAGGTTCATATGAACACATCCTATGACCAAATGAATGAGCAAATGTATAAGGAAACTGAATTAAAATCCCTACAAGATGGTCTTCTGGTAAAAGACTAGATTATCAGAGAAATAACTAGATTAATAATTGTTATAAAATTTCACAAAACTCAACTTTCTGTGGTAGAAAGAGGTAAAACTGTCAAGCTTGTACATGATTAAGAACAAGTTTTCACTGGATTATCTGGTAAACTGCAATTTTTTTAAAAGTTATAATCTACTTCAGTAACTACAAATGATTAGTATTTTGGTGTTTATCTTCTTGTTTTTCTGTTATATAATGTAAAAGATGCCAAAAGAAGAATGATGACAAGTGATTTAAAAAGCTTAACCAAGGGTAAGAGCGTGTGGAATGCGTAAGTGTCTATTGCAACCATGTGTTTATCCCCGGGAACACCTGGAACCAGTCATGTTGCTAACTGTTGGCCAAACCTGAATGAAATGTTCTAACTAGTGATGAATATAGTCCTGTGCTAGAGTCAAGACTAGGGGGCAACTTGTACTAGCTTGTCAGCACCGTTTATAGAGACGGTTTGCATCTGGTTTCTGTCATATTCCCTTGGTTTCTGCTTTTGAGCCTGGTCAAGCAACTTAATTTTTGCTATGAAACTAGAGGAGTACTAACCATTCCCACTTGAAAACTGGCACAAGACAAGGATGCCTTCTCTGACCACTGCTATTCAACATAGTATTGGAAGTTCTGGCCAGGGCAATCAGGCAAGAGAAAGAAAAAAGATATCCAAATAGGAAGACAGGAAGTCAAACTGTCTCTGTATGCAGATGACATGATCCTATATTTAGAAAAGCCCACACAGTCTCAGCCCAAAAGCTTCTTAAGCTGATAAACAACTTCAGCAAGGTCTCAGGATACAAAATCAATGTGCAAAAATCACTAGCATGCCTATACAACAGTAACAGTCAAGCAGAGAGCCAAATCAGGAAGAAGCTCCCATTCACAATTGCCACAAAAAGAATAAAATACCCAAGAAAACAGCTAACTAGGGAGGTGAAAGATCTCTACAAGCAGAACTACAAACCACTGCTCAAATAAATCAGAGATGACACAAACAAATGGAAAAACATTCCATGCTCATGGATAGGAAGAAGAAATAGCATTAAAATGGCCATACTGCCCAAAGCAATTGGTAGATTCAATGCTATTCCTATTAAATCACCACTGACATTCTTTACAGAACTAGAGAAAACTATTTTAAAATTCATATGGAATCAAAAAAGAGCCAAAATAGCCAGGGCAATCGTAAGGAAAAAGAACAAAGCTGGAGGCATCATGCTACCAGACTTCAAACTATAGTACAGGGCTATACAGTAGCCAAAACAGCATGCTACTGGTACAAAAACAGACCTACAGACCAATCAAACAGAACAGAGAACCAAGAAATAAGACTGCATACCTACAACCATCTGATCTTCGACAAACCTGACAAAAGCAATGGAGAAACGACTCCCTATTCAATAAATGGTGCTAGGATAACTGGCTAGCCATATGCAGAAAACTCAAACCGGACCTCTTCCTTACACCACATACAAAAATCAACTCAAGATGGATTAAAGACTCAAATGTTAAACCCAAAACTATAAAAACCCTGGAAGACAACCTAGGCAATATCATTCTGGACATAGGAATGGGCAAAGATTTCATGACAAAGATACCAAAAGTAACTACAACAAAAGCAAAAATTGACAAATGGGATCAAACTAAAGAGCTTCTACATAGCAAAAGAAATTATCAACAGAAAACCTATAGGATGGTAGAAAGTTTGTGCAAACTATGCATCCAGCAAAGGTCTAATATCCCGCATCTATAAGGAACTTTACAAGAAAAAACTACCCCAGCCCAGATACGGTGGCTCACACCTGTAATCTCAGCACTTTAGGAGGCTGAGGTGGGCAGATCACTTGAGGTCAGGAGTTCAAGACCAATCTGGCCAACGTGGTGTAACTCCGTGTCTACTAAAAATACAAAAATTAGCTGGTTGTGGAAGGGTGCGCCTGTAATCTCAGCTACTTGAGAGGCTGAGGCAGGAGAATCGCTTGAATCTGGGAGGCAGACGTCGCTGTGAGCCGAGATGGCACCACTGCACTCCAACCTGGGCGATGGAGTAAGACTGTCTCAAAAAAAAAAAAAAAAAAAAAAAAAAACCCATAAAAAAGTGGGCAAAGGACATGAACATTTTCAAAAGAAGACATACATGTGGCCAAAAATCTTATGAAAAAAAGCTCAACATCACTGATCATTAGAGAAATGCAAATCGAAACCACAATGAGATACCATCTTACACCAGTCAGCCTTTTTTTTTTTTTTTTTTTTTTTTAAGATACTGGTGAGGTTTTGGAGAAAAGGGAACACTTATACACATCCCTTTTTGGAACACGATGGGAGTATAAATTAGTTCAGCCATTGTGGAAGACAGTGTGGTGATTCCTCAAAGACCTAGACAGAAATACCATTCAACCCTGCAATCCCATTACTGGGTATATACCCCAAATAATATAAATCATTCTATTATAAAGATGCATGCACAGGTATGTTCACTTGCAGCACTGTTCACGATAGCAAAGACATGGAATCAACCTAAATGTCCACTGATGTTAGACTAGACAAAGAAAATGTGGTACATATATACCATGGAATACCATGCAGGCATAAAAAAGAATAAGATCATGTTCTTTGCAGGGACATAGATGGAGCTGCAGGCCATTATCATTAGCAAACTAACTCAGGAACAGAAAACCAAATACTTCATGTTCTCATTTATAAGCGGGAGCTAAATGATGAGAACACATGGACACATCAGAGGGGAACAACACAGACTGGGGCCTGGTGGAGGGTGGGAAGAGGGAGAGGATCAGGAAAAATAACAAATGGGTACTAGGCTTAATACCTGAGTGATGAAATAATCTGTACAACAAACCCCATGACACGAGTTTACCTATGTAGCAAAACTGCACTTGTACCCCTGAACTTAAAAGTTAAAAAAATAAAAATAAAAAACCTTTGTACAAGACCAGGGCTCTTCTGAAACTAAGGTATCTTACATATATCTTGGTGGTTCACGATGCAAAGATGAAGCGTGTCCTATGAAACAGATAGACTCCCAAGAGTAGTTATTTGTTTTGGAGCTCTGTGGCATCTGCCTGTGTGTTTTTGTCTTCATTGTACCATAACCCTCTACCATTATTAGGGCCATACATGACATAAGGACATAAAGAATGATCTTTATTTAATGTTAAGTGAATAAGTGAAGATTACAAAATGACATCCTAAAAATAGCTAATTCTGTTGCCCCTGAATTTTAAATAGTGTTTTTCCTCTTCAAAGTATGCCCCTTCCTTCCTTCCTTTTTGCTTAGCTGTCTGCTACTCCCTGCACTCCCTTTCATTTGCTACCTCTATAGCTCCTGTTTGCTGAAAAAACAAAACAAAAAAATCCAAGTTTGTTAGAAGTATGTCACTGATTTAAGCTAATAGGATAGGAGTAAAGTGCATATTATTCAGATAAATGAGTTTTGTAAATCATTTCACCACAAGAGTTTTTTTTTTTTGGGAAGAGGTCTCTAAGCATTTGAGGTTATATTAAGACAGGTAGCTGCAAAGTGCATTATATCAATAAGATACATTGTTTTCTAGATTAAGTACAATTTTAGGCCAGAAATGAATGTGACAGGAATAGGAAAACAATAAACATTTAAAAATCATATATGCATGATTTTAAAACTACCTTTTAGAAAAGAAGTTATAGAAGGATCAGGATAGCCATCAGAGTATGCTAGTGTTCTACCTATGAAACCATCTAACAACAGAATAAAAAGGCTAAATAAAATGTACCTTTATGTAGTCAACAAGATTCTGATATTCAATGTAGTTGCCTCCTCCCACCACAAAAACAATGGCCTAAAATGCAAACAGATTAAAAAAAAAAAAACACAGTTTTTAGTCTGAAACCTCTTCTAAAATTAAGGTTAAAAAATGCTAGCCAAAAGTCATATTCTAAGCCCCTGATGCTATTTTAATTATTAAGAAATGTTTCTAAAAAGTCAATTTATAAATTTCTAATGTCTCTTGAGTAGTATGAAGAAGAGATTTTTCAGAAACAATTTAGAGGAAAATAACTATAATTTCCAATATATGTTATTTACTGTATTTTTTACGGAGAAGCTTCTTTGTATTTCAAATGAAAACAGTCATAGTATCTTCACAAATGTTTGGAATCCAATTTCAGAAAAAGGTTCCACACATGTAAAACTCTCACTGCAATTTGAAATACTTCATTTCCTGTGAATTGTCCGTTATTTTTAAGCTTAAAATATTATAAATATAAGCAGCTTTATAAATTAGAAAAATATAATTGCTAGGCCAAATTATCATACACTAATCATCATAAAGCCATGTTTGGTACAGACAGTCTTCAAGATTGGTCACCTTTCATCTTCCCTTTCTAGGAACAGAGAATTTTTATATGAAACTTACCTCTTGGAATGGATTTTTATTTCTGGGAACTGAGCTGTAATAAAGAAAAACCGTAATGAAAATTTCACCCATGGCTTTTATTATGAATAAAATAGGTATGGGAAATACACACACATGCACTATTAGGTAAGTATTTACAATTCTACCTCCTTCACCTTCTTAGAGGGGTGGGTCCTTTAATTTTGCTGAGCCAGGTAGTGAACTGGGTTTCATTAAGAAGCAGCTAGAAAAGGGAGATATCTCAGAGTCTAAAAGGAAATGGGTCAACCCTATTACTTTAAAATAAAATTCTAGATGACTGAGCAGCAACTCCCACGAGGAGGAGCGTAAGTCTGGGTTTGTGGTGAATGGATAAGGCATATATTTTATGTGGTAAATTTTTACCAAACTCAATATTATATATAGTTTGTGGGTATCTACATTTGTGGAAAAACTATATAAATACATGTATGGGAAGAATAACAACTCAGGAAGCAAATGGGGAAGGGAGGGAGGGAGGGATCTGAATTTTGCTGTAGCTTATTTATTAAAGATCTCTTAGACACCAAAGTATTATAAAGACATTTTTCAAAGCTTTTGCGAGTCTAGACTTACATATTTGAGTGCTAAAACAGGCTGTAGAGTATGACTTAAAAGGACAACTTAGATTTTCCCCTAAGTAATTTTTGAAAATATCAACTGAGAAAAGAGGGCTATCATAACTTTCCTTAATTGTTCAGAGGCTGATGACACAGTTCTATCATCTTTTCCTCATTTCTATGGCCTGTCTGAATATTCCACAGAAGAAGCTACAAGTCCACCTGACTGAAATGCCTCTTCAGTGTTCCAGTTCCTTAAACAGTAGACATGGATGAGGAGAGGTAAGACTTATAGAATAGTATTACTAGTTATTAGTCACCAAGATTTAACTGTGATGGGATAGCTCAGGAGAAGGCTCTGTTAAAAATGAAACTCTAAGCTTATCTGTCTTATCAATGCTAATATTCTTCCTCATTACCATGCATAAACTACATTAAGGATTAAATATTTCTCAGTAAATTTCCAAGAAGCCAAGTATAGTCTCCCTTGATATCCATGAAGGACTGGTTCCAGGAACCTCCATAGACACCAAAGTCCACAGATGCTCAAGTACCTTATGTAAAATGGTGTAGTGTTTGCATATAACCTACTCACATCTTCCTATATACTTTAAATAATCTCTAGATTACTTATGATACCTAATATAATGTAAATGCTATATAAACAGTATTACGAACTATATAGTTTACACTGTATTAGGTATTGCTTAGAGAATAAACACAAGAAAAAAATAGTGTGTACATGCTCTGTATAGATTCAACCATCCGTTTTTCCCCCCAAATATTTTCGAACCCTGATTGGTTGAACCCATGGATGAGGAACCCACGCATATTGAGGGCTAACTGTATATCTACTTGTTAGCTAAATGCAAGGAAGGAAAAAATGTAAGCTGGAGAATCATTAATATAGAAAAAAGTTGCTAATCCATTGTTGTAAAGTGTACAATCAGTGGTTTTTAGTATATTTACAGAGTTGTACAACCATCACTGTCTAATTTCAGAACATTTTTATCACCCCTAGAAGAAGTCCTGTACCCATTAGCAGTCAATCCTCATCCCCCTTTCCACAATCCATTCTTTGTCAAATTCTCTCTTGCCAACAGCAGCTGCTATTGGCAGTTCTTATGCAATTTTGGTGATATTTCTGGTAAATTCAGAAAAGGGAATAACGTTTCAAGTTATCAAACAATTTAATCTAATGACTAGATTATTTTCACACCATCTACAAAGATACGAAAGCTTGGGATACAGCAAATGTAAAGTTCTGAAGATCCCAAACATAAGGAACAGGCAACAAACTAGCTTCACTAGCTTCATCTGAGTTTCAGTGCTACAGACAAATCAGTCCAAGGCAGTTATTCCCGCCCCCCACCCCCCTGCCCCCAATTCTGCCTATTCTTTTTCTGTATCTTGTAGGCTATTTGTCATACCACCGCTAATTAAATCATGAAAAATAATATCCATAAGGATATCTTACCATCCAATGTCTGTGATAAAATGCAGAATTTATTTATAGAATGTTTCATTGACACAAGGTGTTACATAGCAATGGTTCCCAGTGACTTTAATTTTATGGACCAGTTAAATAAAAAACAACCAAACAACTGGTATCCAATATAAAGCTCCTATTTTTTTCAATTGGTCCAATAAGAATATTCATTTAAAAACACGTTATCGAAATTTCCCTCACCCACAATTAGTTTCTAATACCTCCACCATTTCATAAAAACACCAGTAAACGTCTAAATGGATTTGTGTGTGTGTATATGTGGAAGGAAAAACATCTGAATGCCAAGTATCATTACTAGAGATATCTCTGGATAATGAGATTATACATCCTTGTTTCCTTACGAGTTTTCCATATAGTTTGGATTTTTAATAAGCAGTACTATATAATAAAAAAATTATTTCCATTCTCGAGGGGAAAAAATCCACAAGTTAAACAAGACAAAAGCTGCTTACCTGTCATTGCCCCGCAGCATTTTGGGATCAAAATATCTATAGTCATCAGTTTCCTATTAAAAAAAATAGAACTTTACCATGACTGTGGAATTTCTCTTCAGAAGGTCAGTTTGGCTTAGAGTATCCTATTTTAATGAATCTATCAATTTTGTAGAATGTATAACAACCATCCCTAATACTTAATGAGCACTTACTATGTGCTAACCTTTATTCTAAGTGCTTTAGATGAAATTACTCAATCCTAATAATGGTCTATCAGGTTGTTACTGTTACCCTCATTTTTCAGATTGACAGTCTGGGGTAGAGAAAAGTTATGTAACTTTTCTAAAGTCACATGATTAGTAAGTATGGGAACTACAGGATTTGAACCCAGGCAGTCTATTTTCAATGCCCAAGTTCTTAATTACCATGCCAGAGAAACTAATTCTCTTCTGGAGTGTTGACAGGACTATCAAAACCTGATTCTTGACAAATATGCTACACATGTTGCTACTATTTAGTCCTGTACCCAATGGGGTGGACACTGCTAATCAATCATAGCACTCTCAGTAAACCCAAACATAGTGTAAGGATCCTTCAACACTTTGCTCCAAGAAACCACTACCAGCCAGACTTACAAGGCAAGATAACCTATCTGATATCCTGCCTTAGTTTTAATTTATTCAATTAAGAAATGAAAGGAAAACATTTAATAAATGAACTGATAAAAATGCATCTAGAATTAGATTACAGCATTTCAAATGGATACAATCAAGATTATTTATCAGGTCTAACTTAGTATACTTTGCTAATCTCTTTAGCATTTTGCTAATCTCTTCATTGCCTCCAAATCAATTTGTCCATCTGGGAACAGGAGAAGGATGATAATGCAGGCAGCTGCCTCACCTAGCAGATGAAGAAACACTTTCAAAACAGAAAGTTACTTTTTCCTAGTTAAGTAAAAAAATATCCGTCTGCAATAATATGCCTTGAGTTATAAAGTGAAAGTCAAGGGAACTGATCAATGAACTTTCACAGCTTGGAAAACATTTCAGTAAGATCCACAAGGTAGCCATCCATGTGTTTATGACAGAGAAATGTGGAAGGAATGTGTATGCTGGAATGAGCACCAAGCAGGAATATAGCAGTAGTAGGTTTCTGGTTCCAATTCTGCTACTAAAAGTAGTGTGACGTGGGAAGTCACAACATTTCTTGGTTGCCTCTCTTCCACTGTTAAGATGACTTATGTTTCTTTAACTCTCTAGTTCTGGGATTCCATGAAGGGAATGATTCTTGCCCTAATCAATACAGCATAATGGTAGAAAACTTGGCCTTTAGTTAAAATCTTCAGTTTGACATTTATTAGCTGTGTGTCCTTGGGTAAGTTACATTGCACTACAGTGTCCTCACCTATAAAATGAAAATAATAATACTAGTACTTTTCTCAGAAAGTTCTAATGAGGATTAAGTGAGATAATAGGTGAAAAATGCTTTTTTTTTTTTTTTCTTTTTTTTGAGGCAGAGTCTTGCTCTGTCACCCAGGCTGGAGTGCAGTGGCATGATCTCGGCTTACTGCAAACTCTACCTCCCAGGTTCAAGCAATTCTCCTGCCTCAGCCTCCAGAGTAGCTTGGATTACAGGTGCGTGCCACCATGCCCCACTAATTTTTTGTAGAGACGGGGTTTCACCATGTTGGCCAGGCTGGTTTTGAACTCCTGACCTCAAGTGATCCACCTGCTTCGGCCTCCCAAAGTGCTAGGATTACAGGCTTGAACCACCGCAAAATGCTTTGAATGATTTCTGGAACATGATAAGTACTCAATAAATGTTAGCTATTATCATTATTACTGTCATTATTTTTCATCTCAACTTCAAGATTAGGGACAGTAACAAATATCACAGAATTTTTTCTTTCTTTTTTTGAGACAGGGTCTCACTCTGTCACCCAGGATGGAGTGCAGTGGCACAATCTTGGCTCAATGTAGCCTCAACCTCCTGAGCTCAAGTGATCCTCCCACCTCAGCCTCCTGAATAGCTGGGACTACAGGTGTGTATCACCACACCAGGCTAATTTTTTGTATTTTTTGTAGAGACAGGGTTTCACCACATGGCCTAGGCTGGTCTCAAACTCCTGAACTCAAGTGATCTGTCAGCCTTGGCCACCTAAAGTGCTGGGATTACAGGCATAAGCAAACATGCCTGGAAAATATCAAAATTTCTTAACCCCCTGTGTATTTGGCACCTGTCTAAAGTTTTGCATTTACTTATATTTTTAATCTTTATAGTTGCTTGGCATAGTATCTTCTGGAAGTTTATTGCCTATTAGGAAGCAGTATTCTGTAAGTCAATTAGTCATGAATGTATACCTCTCTTAGGCTTTTCAGGAAGAACCTTTTCTTCATGTATTCTAGGATGTAGTGACAAAGTCTATTATTACTTCATTGTATACCACTTTATCTGTATTGATTCCCAGATGGAAGAATCCAATCCTTTTTAGTTTATCATTATAAATGATTCTCCCATTCCTAATATTAACTGCCCTTTTGAGATGTTTTATTACACTGTATCTTTGTTTTCACACCAGTGAATTTTAAAATTTGTTAGTTTCTTGTTATTACAGTCATGTTCTGACAATTACAAAAAAGGTGACACTCATCTGAAGACACTGTTCTCACTCTTTCTTAGAATTGGAATCCTAAGCCTCACTGCCAAATCTATAGGGTTTTAGATAAACTCAAACCAGGGTTTTGATGTCGGTAGGCTCATGCTGCCTGTTTTTGATTCCAGATTCTTGTGGTAATAACCACCTTTTGGTTGCGACAGTGACAGGATGGGATGTTTTATGAAACAGATTGTGATGATTTTTACATTCCTTTCTTGAATTACAAACAGATAGCTTAGAAACCCATTCTTTAAGTCAATGCTAACGGTATTGACCCATTTGTCTATTCACCCAATGATTTCATTGTCAATTTACTTCTTCAGCCCAAAAGAATTTAGTGCCCTGTAAACATATGTACTTAACATTTTTACTATGCACTTCTTTCCTAATTTAACTTTTATAAAATTAAATTGGTTTGGTACTCTTTATACTATATCAACAGATGCTCACTGGTTCTTTTTTCATTTATAGAAATTTGTTCCTTAGGATATATTTTACATTTAATTATACATATAGGATATAATCTACATGACATTTGAATGAGAGCTGGCCAGAATGGGTATGGCAGCTGAGAAAACCAATTCCCAGAATCCGTGATAATGGCTAAAAAAGGCTTCTTGAGAACATGGACTCTTCCTTTTCCTCATGTATTCTGCTGTGATTAAGCTCACAAGGAACTCAATCTGATTTTATCCTCTTTCATACTAGTCAGTTTGACACATTCGGGAATTTACACAAAATATGTTATATGGTACTCACGGGGTTTGACTTCATCTCCATAAGATTGTCCAAAATACGAGTAACAGGTAGATTCTGTGGAAAAGTATTTTGTTAAATATTAGAATATTAAACCAAAGTTCTTCTCTATTAAAACAACCTGATCATTCTACAGTTAAGTATGCTTACCTTTCAATTAAACACATTCTAAGATTAAGTAGTCTGTGAATGGTAAAGGTGATGTCAAAGATGTAAATACTCTTGGCACTACTCAAGTTTCCACAGGAAAATATAATTCTAAGTAAAATGCTTCTTTAAATGTATAGGTGTATTCAGGTTTTAGTACAAATACATGTTTGGGCTTTTTACTTTGTTGGGTGTTTGCTTTTAATACTAGTAACTGCAAGCTTTTGTTTTGATCAAACAAGAATCCCGTTTTTTTTTTTTTTTTGACATGGAGACTCGCTGTCGCCCAGGCTGGAGTGCAGTGGCGCAATCTCAGCTCACTGCAGCCTCTGCCTCCTGGGTTCAAGTGATCCTCCTGCCTCAGCCTCCCAAGTAGCTGGGAATACAGGCTCTTGCCACCACGCCCGGCTAATTTTTATATTTTTAGTAGAGACAGGGTTTCGCCATGTTGGCCAGGCTGGTCTCAAACTCCTGACCTTAGGTGATCAGCTTCCCAAACTGCTGGGATTACAGGCGTGAGCCACCATGCCTGGCCAGAATCCCACTGTATTTTTTTCATTTCCTCTCTGTGGATTATAAAAGTTCTCTTTAAAAATAAAGTAACTTTTAAAGTTCGTGAAAACGTATGAGATTAAATGATGTAAGAGTTCGTTCATTTCTAATAAAAAGGTATTTTTTGTACTTAGGAAAATGGGTATATGGATACACAAACAACTTTATTGACCATTTTTATTTTGCCTGGGATAAGTTCCAAGTTTTCAATGTTGCACTGCATCATCTTACAGAACAGATTCCACTTTGAACACGAAATGTACAACACAGGTGCTGGCAAAAGGTTGTCTCCTGACTTGTTTATAGGCTGTGGCATAAGAAGTACTGTTACATTTCAGTCTGACAAGTTTTATTATTTTGAACATAAGTCAAATTTAGAAAATTTAGAAAATTATGGCTATTCAAAGTGCATTCCTAATGAAGTGTTATTCTGTTCATTTTCAACTGGTATTTCCTTTGTGAATTGTACAGGATGTTCTGAAGAGAACAGTCTTGTATCTATTGTACTTTATGTATTTCAGAGACTTCATACAACAAAAACATTCAATCTGATTGTTTATAGATCAGATAAAAATCTATAAATAACACATTACTATTATATAAGGATTTTCCATTTTGATAACACATTACTATTATATAAGGATTTTCCATTTTCTTAGATCATAAAACATTTTATTGTTATTAAAATGGACTGTCACTAAGGATACTGCTGCCTTCCCTAGACTGGTAAAGTGAAAACCTTTTAAGATTGTCTCAGGCAAGTAAAATTAAAATTAAAGCTATTTCATTTGTGTTGGCTAGGTACTTTCAAATATAAATACAAGCATCAAATGTTCAAGCTGTCTGAATATACTTCTGAATACTATTCAGAATTTTTTTTTTTAAAGGTGGCTCAAAATTTTACCTTTTTTTTTTTTTTTTGAGACGGAGTCTCGCTCTGTCGCCCAGGCCGGACTGCGGACTGCAGTGGCGCAATCTCGGCTCACTGCAAGCTCCGCTTCCCGGGTTCACGCCGTTCTCCTGCCTCAGCCTCCCGAGTAGCTGGGACTACAGGCGCCCGCCACTGCGCCCGGCTAATTTTTTTTTTTTTGTATTTTTAGTAGAGACGGGGTTTCACCTTGTTAGCCAGGATGGTCTCGATCTCCTGACCTCATGATCCACCTGCCTCGGCCTCCCAAAGTGCTGGGATTACAGGCGTGAGCCACCGCGCCCGGCCAAAATTTTACCTTTTAAGTTTTGTTTCAAATAAAATTGAGTCTGTTCACTTAAGAGTGAGTCTAAACCAGTTTCTCTAAAGAGTAACTGGGTGCAGATTTAAATGTGCTTTAAATAAAGATTTTAAAATGCTTTATCCAAAAGAGAAAACTATAGTTAGGAATTCCAAGTAATACCAACAAAAGATAATGAAGTACTTTGCAACATAACAAGAATAAATAATTAAAAAATTCTGGAACAAAAGAACATTGTAAATTGTTTTGTAAAATTTTACGAAAATTGAGAGCTTTATATCAATTTCTCTATTTACACTGAATTCTGTGTTTATCTTCCTGCATTGTACTCTTAGATCTATACAATGGAGGAAAATTTAGAAAAGGTTATATATAATGATAAACCATAAGGGTCATATTATTTTTATTATATTTGTGAAAATAATTGGAAGTCTGAATATTCATACCAATATTCCATGATAAATCTTTATTTAGTCTAAAATGAGATTTTCCTAAGGATACAATTAAATTTTACTTTGTGTTTTATAGTTCTGCTATATCTGAAGACAAGTCTGCCAAATAGGTCATTAAGTAACATGAGAAAAATTTCTTTCCAGCAAAATTGTTCAAAAATTAAAGAGCCCAGAGACAACTCTTTCGTATGTTTTTGTCTGGTTTTTCAGAGACAACTCTTTCGTATGTTTTTGTCTGGTTTTTACAACCAAATAACACACCAAAACCATCTACACATCTACCACTCCCATACAATACAATATTCACATACTCCCATACATTAATGGAAGCTTCAAGTACAGAGAATGATTTTAAAAAATACATAATGTCTTTAAAACGTAGGAAAGAGTACTTCAGGAAACAACTTTTGAGATCTGTCACCAGCTAATGCTCTAGCTAGCCTTCATTCTTTGCCTAGATAAAGGCCTGAATTGACTTAATCATTAAAAAAAATCAATTATATATTTAGAATAATTTACATACCAGGTTAATCAAGTTTTACTGGTTAAAAAAACCGGATTTTAGCAGCTAACATATTAGCACATGGAAAACATCAGAACAAAACCATACAATATTCTTTGCTCAACAAATAGTGTTACTTATGTGTCTTTAGAAACATAAAAAGTCTGTGTGCTTCAGTAAAAGGGGTATAAATAAAATTTTATCAAATGAAAAACTCCATTGTTGTAAGAATTCTCAAGCATATTTTTTGTTCTTAGAAATTGTTGTTTAGAAATAAAATGGAAAACATTATTGTATAGTTAGCAACTAAATTTTTATTAGAAAGCCATTATAGATATAGATTTGAGAGACAGAGTCCTATACACAGGAATATCCTAAATTAAAGTTCTTCAAATTTCAAATACATGAACTAGGAACTTTATCTGAAAAAAATATAGTGAGAAATCTATTTCCAAAAATCCTAACTCATTTTATGACTTTAGTCGTGTTTTATGATTTTAGTCACCGGAAAAGCTTAGGTAAAAACAATGGTAACTTTATTTCTGATGGTGTATTACAAAACAAAATAAAATATGCACAAAAACTTAAAAAAAAGACAACTAAGAAATATAATATAGTTCTATAACCAAAATAGGGAAGTGTTTTTTTTCCTTTGAGTTCTCTTAGAATTAGCCACTTGTTGCCTATATTGACAACTGATCTATGGTGACTATTTGTAACTTTTCCCTTGCAGCCCTGGGCTTCAGATGATACTCTGATGTCGAAGCTGGCAGTGGGATTGGGACAAGAATTGCTACTGTCTTGATTATCAGAGCCCTGGAGAATGAAAAAGCCCTATGTGGACCTCCTGTAAGAGGACGCTTATCTTGAAGGCAGTTATCAGCCAAGTAAAGAATTAGATGGCGTGTGTGGACACTGGAAACACTGGAGATGAGAGATGTATCAATGATAGAAGGGTGGAAAGTTGCCAGTGAAGTGAAGCTACGAGGAGAGGGAATAAGATGGGCTGTCTCTTTCCAAAATTTAAAATTATAAACCAGACTGTGATCTACAGAGTGTATCTAATACCCTTATCTTACAGATGAGTTTAAAAATCATCTCGTGTTCATGGCAATAAAGAAAATGAGATTATGTGAACTCACCAAGACACATCTATCCCTCTCTCACCCAGCTTCCACAAGTATTAACTCGTGGCAAATCTTATTTCACCTGTACTATCACCTACTACCCATTCCCCTACGTTGTTTTAAAGAAAGTCTCCAATATACAATCAATCATTTTAGCCATAAATATTTCAGTACACATATCCAAAATATAAAAACTCTTAAAAACCCCAAAACACTATTACCACTCCTAAAATAATAATTTAATAATTATTAAATAATTTATAAGTTATAATATTACATAATTAACAGTGATTTATTCTCTTCTGCAGATTCACTGAGGTATGACTGACAAATAAGTTGTATATATTTTGGGTGTACAACATGATGTTTTGATGTATGTATTTGTTATGAAACAATTACTACACAACTTGATATCCAGTCACTGTTGTATAAATTATCATCCATCTCCCAGGCTCACGTGATCCTCCCACCTCAGCCTCCCAAGCATGTGCCACCATGCCCAGCTAATTTTTTTGTATTTTTTGTAGAGATAGATGGACTTTTGCCATGTTGCCCAGGCTGGTCTTGAATGCCTGGGCTCAAGCAATCTGCCTGCCTTGGCCTCCCAAAGTACTGGGGTTACAGGCGTGAGCCACTGCACCCGACATATAAAATCATGTTTTATAGTTTTCTTGTTCATATCATAATCTTAAGGGCCAGACATTGCAACTGTGTATTTTAAGTCTTTTTTTAATCTATGGATTTTCACTGCTTGTAATTTATGTGTTGTTAATTCATTTTTAAAGGAGGGATTATTTTTGCAAACAGGCCAAAGAGAGTAAAACAGAAATCTAAAATTATGCAACTGTATGCTACATTATTCATCTTCACATTCTTGTACAATTATCCTCACACAAATAGATTCCAAATCTGTGAATAACATTCAACTGGTTTTATGTGATAGTTGATACTTGTGATGCACAAAACTTATGCTGCCCATAAAACAAGGTATAAAAAGCTCTTATAAGTGACCTAGAAAACTGGATGTAGTTAATCCTATTCTAATTTATTTATAGTTTAAACTGTTTATTCAGATAAAAAGATCCAAAACAATATTTAGAGATTTAACAGGCATAAATTACTCATAATATTCCAAGAGTGAAACAGAACTGATCTTCAGCAGTGTCTTCTTTGATACCTCTTACCTCTCAGTTCCCAAACTGCCCAAGACCTCCCACCATAGTACCTCTAAATTTTAGAATATAAGGGTAATAGAGCTTTAACATGGATTTCTCTGAGTTTACATATTTCTAGAGACTCTTTACTCGAGGATAATTTGGTAATATTTATTAAGAACAATTAGAAATGTCTACACTCTTGATTCTAGATTTCAATCCTAGCAATTTGTCGTGGACAGTAGTAACCAGAGATGAAGATGTACCCAGAAAAAACTAACATTTAAAGCTTAGGTAAGCCTGAGTATTTGTCCTTCAGTACCATCTATTTTTTCTCTTTTTAAAGAGCAACAAAAAAAAGACTACATTGAACTATACTGTATGACTATTACTTTTACTTGATGATAATATAAAATGAACCATTCCTACCCCCTGTCAATACCTATTTCTCTAATTCTGAACTTTTTTTTTTTTTTTTTTTTTTTAATGACATGGCTCTTCTGGTAGTGGTGGCAAAAATATACAGATGGGGTGACCACTGATCATTTCAAATTTTACTTTTGTAAGTGAGAAACTGCCTATGTCAAAGTGGTATGTTATTTGCAATATTAAAAAAACAGAGATGTAAGATCATAAAGAATTGTTTCTGTATCTTATGCACTCCAAATAAAATAAAACTTTTGTGTTAGCACAATAAAATATTTAAGAATTGACCAATTTAGATGTCTTTTACAGGTATCATAGGGGATATATACCATGTGACTCTGAGGTAGTAAGTTCAAAAACAAAACAAACCATGATTATTCTAAAGGTTAAAGTCTGTAATTTCTAAATATTATGAGTTATATGTTACAAGAAATACTTTGTTTAGGGAAATCTTACTATTGGGATTTACTTCTAACAGTGACATGTGAAGAAAAATATGTAATTCTCCTTAAAAATAAACTACATATGGTTATGTAATAGCCAGTCTATCTAGCAAAAGGCAGACATTACCGTAGAAGTTGGTGGTCCCCCTTTGTCTCATGAAACAAAATCATTTTGTCCACAGTTGACGATAAATAAGAACCGGGCGCAGGCTAAGCCGTAAAGTATAGCACATTTGTCTCTAATGTGCCCAAACTTCCTATTGTGCCTTTTCACATATAGTCTAAGAGGGTGAAGATAAGCTGATTCTCGACAGTACTACGAACGAGTAAGAAAAAGTAGCTTTAGTATTTGGTAGTAGCTCCTTACCAGGAGGTAGAATGAGAGAGATTGACAATAATTTCTAAAAGGGATAATGAGGCCAGGCACAGTGGCTCATACCTGTAATCCCAGCACTTGAGAGGCTGAGGTGGGAAGATCACTTGAGCCCAGGAGTTCAAGACCTGCCTGGGCGACATAGTGAAACCCCATCTCTACAAAATATACAAAGATTAGCCAGGTGTGGCGGTGCGTGCCTGTAGTCCCAGCTAGCATCACTGCACTCCAGCCTGGGCAAGAGAGCCTGACCTTGTCTCAGAAAAAAAGAAAAAGAAAAAAATAACTTATTAAACCACAAATAAAGATTAAGTATATAAAATACCACAAGCAAACATTATAAGAAAGAAAAGTGTGGAGGAAAGAAAAGATCTTGTTTTTTTCTGAATACAGGTAAATAAACAATATTCAGGTCTGAATAACTGATTCTTTTGATTTGGCCTTTAAAACCCTTCTCACTGCAAACTGAGTTTCTGTGTAAAATATTATCTCAGTTTTGCCTTAAAATATTCCAGTAAAAGTAAATAAAAAACACAAATGGGATAGATGAAACAAGAATGGATACTGACTTAATTGAAGGATTCAGGAGAGTTTGATAATGCATATTTGAAAATTTCCAAAATTAAAAGTAAAAAACAAATCTTTTGAAAAGATACCAAATTAATAATGACTGAAGCAGAATATCTATATATTAGAATAGAAAAATCACAGAAACAAAAAAGTCATTTAAAAGTGTCCTATATACAAAATGAAGGACTAAAAGAAAGAAAATGCGAAATCGAGGTACAATTTTATTATCCCCAAATATAAATTCTATTTAAAATATTTTGTTTAGTCCAATTTACATAGGACTTTAGATATGAAGTTCATTAGCTTATTAATATTCTCTGATTATATGTTAAAAGAAATGATATTCATTATGTAACAGTTCACTATTCTAAATAGGTTAGGTTCATTCTTTCAATTAACGTACTTTCAACAACCTGATGGTAAATACAAATCAAAATGTAAGTAAAGTCCAAATCCAAATGAACAATTTTTTTTTAAAAAAGTATAAAATTACAGAGCTCTGAGCTACACATGTAAAAAATACCCTCAGAGTCTTAAATACACTAATAAAGAACTCCTTGATTTCTAACTCAGGAACAGAAAACCAAATACCACATGGGAGCTCAACAATGAGAACACATGGACACAGGGAGAGGAACAACACACATCGGGGCCTGTAGGAGGCCGGGAGAGCAATAGGGAAGTGAGCTAATGGATGCTGGGCTTAATACCTAGGTGATGGGCTGATCTGTGCAGCAAACCACCAAGGCACACATTTACCTATGTAACAAACCAGCACACCCTGCACATGTACCCCAGAACTTAAAAAAAAAGGAACTCCTTGATTTTATGATTCCTATTTATTACTTGAATAAATCCAGGAGTTGCTTTACCTGAGCAGTTAGCCTGTCAACATTTATGTTTAAAAGTTACCAGTATGTTTTCTAACAAGTGTACTTACTTGCTGTTTCAAAACCAGGTTCTTCACTCCTTCCATCACAAACTGTGATCCTGTATTCATGACTCGTGATAAAAGACTAGGTAGGGGCAAAAGAGAAGGACCATTCTAAGTACAAAGTGCCTCTCCAATCTGTTATCGATAAAATATTTACCTGATTACACACCACATGCTGATGCTCGCTGTACCTACCACCTTTGTTTTCACTAAACAGAAGGGTCTTGAGAATTTCTGCTGCCATGGGTATCACAGCTGCAATTTTATTTAACAATAAAATAGTAATTAAAATACTCTGATTAGTCAATAATTATTAAAAAATACAAAAATAAAGAGCTGCCCTCAAAATAAACATCTTAATTTCCTAGTCTTAGCTATATTTTTTTTTTGCGAGTTATAATTTGAAGAGAATTCCTTGCCTTCCTGATTGTCTAATGCTAAAAAAAACCAATTTAAAGCTAGTAACTTGGACAATTTGCTTTAGGAGTTCAAACCATATGAACATATTGAAAATATATATGCAAGTATTACGAGTAAGTCAAACATTACTGTGTTCTCTTTTATCAGCAGCTGGATCCAATTCTACATTGTATATTTTCTCTCCTCTCTATACATAAAATCTATCATAAAAAAATGTGAAACAGAACAGACTTAGCGAATTTTGCCTCAACTCTGAGAATGTTGTCTACATTTTAAACAACAACAACAAAACACCAATAAGTGACTTGCCATACTGGGTTTATATCTGTGGTTCAAACAGTCTCTCACATGGAATTAAAAGATGTTTTGTGGGACAGATTAGTAATCCTGCATTAAAATCTCAGAAGGCTAGGGACAGCTTTCAGATCACCCAAGAGCTTCTTATAACATATTTATCAAAATCCCAATTGTAAAATCATAAGAACTCTAATAGGCTAATGTTCAATAAGATTTTTAAGGGATGAAACTGAAAAGTCTATTTTATTAAACACATGGAAGTAATTTTCCAAAAATATTTTCCTTTTCCTCATCTTGCCTTACTCCCCTCTGAAATGAAGAGATGGACAGGATGGAAATCTTTTCATTAACAGAAGCAAGAGAAAGTAATCCTTGTTGGAATGAATGGCCCTGGAGCGATTCCTGTCACCAGGCAACTCTGTGGGGGTGTGCTAACCTGCGCAGCACTGTCTGAAGGTGAGGCCAGCTGGATTCCTTTTGCCAAGTACTTATAAGGCTGAGTGCTTTTGTTTTTGGAAATTATTTCATTAAAACCAGTTACTCAGTGTGGGGCTAGGATAAACCTGTTCTCCTCTGGCTTCCTGCTTTTGTTTTAGCTCTAAAAAGTAAGCTAGGAATTGGAAACTGTATGGTACCAAAAAGAGTAGTCAGAATTACCTTGTTCAGTTTCTCTGAAAATCACACATACTCCACTGGGGTCTCTGGAGTAAGATGTCATACCTAGCCCTGAGGACTTCCTATCATTTAGCACTGCTTGAATCTATCCTGAAGCCAGGCCTAGCTTCAAGTCTATATTAGTTATCAACATTGGTACTAAAACAGTTTTAACCTTCAAATGTTTTCTGAAAATGAAAACTATGTTATAATAACAAACAAGCATATGAATAAAAACCATCGAGAAGACAATATTTGTTGTAGAAAATTTGGAAAATAAAGAAAAGTACCCCAAAGAAAAAAACTATACCCCTTGGAATTACCCACTATTAACATTTAGGTGTATATCATTTCAGCTATGCAATTAAATGTATGTATGTGTTTACTCATCCACACAGATACACACAGATGGATAAATGGATAAATAGGGATGATACTATAAAAAATGTTATCTAAGTTTCAGCTCATACCATGTAAAAGACATTAACTTACATTTTAAAGTGAGAATCTGAATGTGCCCAACACTAAAAAATGATAAATGTTTGAGGTGATATGCTAATTACTCTGATTGGATAATTACACATGGTATGTATTAGCACACTGTACCCCATAAATATGTACAATTATTAAATGTCAATGAAAAATAAGTTAAAAAATAGAAAAAAAAAACCAGGAGAACTTCAGCCATCTAAATGTCACCAAAGGCATGGTGACATTTTCCGCATTCAAAGTATCAGACATTGTGTTTTTAAGGCATGAAAGTCTAAGTAAGGTTTTGAGTACAAAGATGCAAAAGAATTATTAAAAATACTTACCCCATTGGTTTAGTGGTAGTGCTGCCATAGCTGGCCGGAGCTGAGGCCATCTTGGTAAAAGCCCTATGAAAGAAGGAAGTTGTACTTAAAAGCTAATTATTAGAACTAACTCTGGGTGTCACGGTATTAAAATATCTACTGACTAACTCTAACTTCTATGATGCAGACATTTTCTGAAAAGAGAATTTTTCAACGAATACAAGTACACTACAATTAGTACTAAAACACTGAATTATTATTATTATTTTTTGAGACAAGATCTCACTCTGTCACCCAGGCTGGAATGCAGTGGTGCCATCATGGCTCACTGCAGCCTTGACCTCCCAGGCTCAAGTGATCCTCCCAACTTGGCCTCCCAAAGTGCTGGGATTACAGGTGTGAGCCACTGCGCCCAGCCTGAAATTCTTAAAGAAGCACAAATGCATTAGTTTTCCAAACTTCCTATTTTTCTTCATTTCTATCTGATCATTTAAATAAAAAGAACTGATGTAGAGACTTGATGGCTTAAAAGAACAACCATGTAATAATTTAGTCTTTTTATTGTTTCCTACATTCTATGCTCCCTTGTTTCCAGGTACATGCCTTTGCTCATGCTGTCCTTTAGGGAGTATAAATTCACTACCTTCTTCAATAGAAACTGTACATTTCCTTTTAAGACTAAGTTCAAAACCACTTTCTTTGTTAACACTTCTAACTCTACCACTCAATGATTTTTCCCTTTAGTTATATTATATACCACAGATTTTACACTTAATTGCATACAGTTGTTTATTTTCAACTCTTTCTAAATGTCCAGAATCTCTGTAACTAAACAATACGATTGATGAAGGATGGGCAGAAAGATGGCATTTAGATGTGCCTTAAAAAATATTTTTATTCTGAGAGTATTTTCACTGTAGAGAATCCAGAAAATATAAAATGCTCCCAGAAGAATCCTACCACTTTGAGGTAACCCCTGTTAAGATGTTGGTGTATAGTCTTCTAATCTTAGGACATATGCCTATTTAACATATATGATTTAAAAACCAAAATTAGCATCATATTGTATACACTGTTTTATAACACATTTTAGTGGCACACCATAGACATTTTATGCCAGTCAGTATTCTTTCATAATGATTCTTATTTTAAATGCTTTGTAACTGGGAAAAAAAGAGTACCTAAAGAAAATTTTATAAGGGAAAAAAATGTAAATCACTAAGATGTGGTAGTAGAAATGCTAAAAATATTCAATTTCAATCTTGACAAAATGTGCCAACAATACCCTTAGAGAAATCCCAAACAAAAATTTCAGTCTTGTTCAGAAAGGATGATGTGAATCAGCAGTGGATTAGAATTTCTGCATTAACAACAACAACAAAAAATAGTTTTTCACTAGAAACAATATCTAAACAACAAAGAAGGGTTAAATAAATAACAGTATATTTATATGATTTAATATTAGGCAAACAGTAAATACTTCCATGAACTGGCATGATGAAAGTTATTAAGAACTAGAATACAAAACTGTATCTCTAAAAATGATTTCCCAGTTTTAAAAAATATCTGGCTGGGTGCAGTGGTGCACACCTGTAGTCCTAGCTACTAAGGAGGCTGAAATGGAAGGATCATGAGCCCAGGACTGTGAGGTTACAGTGAGCTATGATTGTATCACTGCACTCCAGCCTGAGTGGCAGAGCAAGACCTTGTCTCTAGAAAAAAAATCTGTCATATGTATAAACAATGAAAGAATATACACTAATGTTTACTTGTAGTGCAGACATGATGCCACAATGAGAAAATTCCACACTGACCTCTTGTCAGGTTGCAGTCCAAATGCACAACTTAAGAATATTGATAAAATTACCTTTAGGCTATGCATATGAGACAATAATTGATTTTTTGTTTAGACTTGGGTCCCATCCCCAAGATATCTCATTATTTATATATATATATATATATATATATATATATATATATATATATATATATATATGCAAATATTCCCAAATCTGAAAAAATCAAAAATCCAAAACACTTCTGGTTCCAAGCATTTTGGATAAGGGGGATTCAACCTGTATTATAAAAATTGGGAAAGACAGTTTTCAGTTTTCCTTTTAAACAAAGGTTTGTTGTGTATTTTTTTTTCTTATTACAAGAACACAGACAAAAGTAAGTTTCAAAAGTCAAAAGTATAGATAATAAAAAGCACTCATAATCTCAGCACTCAAGAGATAACTACTGTTAACAACTTGGTGTAATTCTCTTGTTATGCTTTTTTTTAATGTAATTGTGATCAGAAAGCCTATTTAATCCTTTAGTCTTAAAAAATTAATTATTTTAAAAACTATTTTGAAGGTAATAGTTTTTGTAGAAAATTTGAAAAATAAAGAAAAGCACCCAAAAGGAAAAAAAATTCTACTATTTGGAATTATCTACTATTAACATTTAGTTGTATGCCATTTCAACTCTGTAATTACATGTTTTTATGTGTATGCTTATATGAACACATACATATGGATGAAAAAATGGATAAACAGGGATCATAACTGTAAAAAATGTCATTTAAGTTTTGGCTCAAATGTGACTGCCTACTAGATGCTTTCCCTGATCTCCTAAGCAAATTTAGCTATCACCCCCAGCAGGTTAAAATCTTACCACTTAGTTTTATTTCTTATGTCATTTAACATGGTTTAACATTATTCTGTTCATTTATTTGCTTATTTGTTAATTGTTTCCTCAACACAAATGTGAATTCACTGACAGTTGGGGCCTTGTTTATCATGCTCGCTATTAGGAAATATTTATTAAACAAATCAATGAAGAGTGTTATAATTTTTTTTTTTTTTACTTTGCAATATAACGTGAGCATTTCTCAATGTCATTAAGTAAGCCTTCTGATTTTTAATGACTTGACTGTATTTATCTTGCAGAAATACCACAATATACTTACTAACACTACTGCTAGACATTTAGGTTGCTTTTAAAAATTTCATTATTACAATTGTGTCTAAAGTCTTAGCTCCAATTACTTCTTTGGGATAAATCCTTAAGAGAAGTACTAGGTCAGAGCTATTTTTAAAGAACTCTTTATACCATCCAGAAAAATTTTGACAATTTATATTCCTAATAGCAGAGTATAAAATGCACAAGTGAATTTTCCTGTATCCTTGGCATGGTATTTTCTAAACATTTGCATTATGTTAATTTGCATTTCTTTGATTACTAGTCAAATTAAAATTTCCTCTTAATGCCTTGGAGACATTTGACTCCAGACATTTCGGTCTTTGACTTTCTCACCTTATCAGTAAAGAAACTATAAAGCTTGCCCAGGAAAGAAAGGCATCACTGTTTTATGTAATTTTAAGTTGTAAACAGGGTGGGCCAGATAAGGAAATATTTATGCCACTGGATATATAAAACCACCAAGGCATTGTTCAGTTTTCTTATTAGCATTCCCATTTTCTTGGGAATGAAGCCTCAATTGTACTCTTTTAAATGACAGGAATTAAAGAAGAAAATAAAACTTACTTCCACTGTTTGATATATTGTAAAGGATTAAGGTTGCATCCTGCATCAGTTAAAGCTTTTTTATATTGCTCCAAATCAGCCTGAAATAAGAAAAGAACTATATGACAAAAAATTTTACTTTCAAGAAAGATGTTATTTGTTGCCATTTGATTAATTAAAAAGTAAGACCAAAGGCATGAGTTTAAATTCTTGGCACCCAAGTAGAGTGGAGTCACGTCTTAAGTGAGTACCCAAGTGAGCACCCAAGACAAGAAAATCACATATAATGAAAATTACCTTTAAGAGGCTCCCAAATCACCTATAAAAGTACAGTATTTTTAAATTTCTCAGCAAGTCCAACAAAGCTATTTTTTCCTTTACTGCTGGGATAGACTGCTTTTCTTCAGGACACACACTAAATGAATGATTTGGTTTGACCAAGAATATTTCTAAACCAGAAACACAAGAGGAATGACACCAACTGAGGGGAGCTGCAGATTTCGGTTTCTCATCTCATTTTCATTCTAGGGGTCCAGATTCATTAACTGGACAACAGGTGTCCCGCACTTTTAAATTTTTTTTTTTTCACTCTTCCTTACTCATTTTCTGATAAGTCTGGCTGAATTTGTGTAACTTAAAGGAGCCTATCTTAACGATCACTTAAATTTATGAAAAGACATAATCCTTACCAAAAGTAAATAAAAATAATGTGGTTAAATTAAGGGAACACTGAATTAAGTTTTAAAATCACATATTCTTAAGAAAAATATTTTAATTAGGCTATTAGAATACCCTGAGATATATAGGTAAACCCCTGTTGATGAGAGAGATACTTTTTTTTTTTGAGATGGAGTTCCACTCTTGTCCAGGCTGGAGTGCAGTGGAGCAATCTTGGCTCACTGCAACCTCTGCCTCCCAGGTTCAAGGCATTCTCCTGCCTCAGCCTCCCGAGTAGCTGAGATTACAGATGTGCACCACCACGCCCAGCTAATTTTTGTATTTTTAGTAGAGATGGGGTTTCACCATGTTGGCCAGGCTGGTCTCAAACTCCTGACCTCAGGTGATCTTCCCACCTTGGCCTGAAAGAGATACTTACAAAAAGAAAACCACACTTTCTTAAAAAATTAGAAGTAAAGCTTTGTGTTCCCAGGGTAAAGCAGAATGGCTGAGAGCAAATATCAGGTTTAGTTTTGCTGTCTTAATATGCCAAAGATTTTTGACCAACAGAAACCCTATCAATTTACCAGATACTAACAACAGCAACAACAAAAAATTGCTACCAGCAAAGGAATGGAGCTTAGAACAGCCACATTCTAAATGTCATCTTGAGGTTCTTATGCTTCTTGCTCATCCAGTAAAAGTATACAGTTAACATTAAAGTCAACAGTCTCTAACCCAGAAGAAGTCTGATACCAAAATCACCACTTTCTTTTACAGAATAGACAACGTATTTTCTACATTGGACATTAGTTTTAAAACAATCTTAAAATAAGGTCAACCTTTCAAAAAGCATAGCAAATCTGATTAACTTAGTTTAGAATAGTTATTTTCCAAAAATAAGAATGTTGGCCACTGAAATTCAGTTTACATTCCAACAACTTAAAAGTAGTCAGATGTTTCACGGGTAGTTTCCCCTGGTAACAATAAAAGTTGCTATAAAACACAGCAGTACATAGAAGCAGCCTTAACAAATTGTTTTTCTTTTTTTTCTTTTATTTTATTTGAGATGGAGTATTGCTCTGTCACCCAGGCTAGAGTGCAGTGGCATGATCTTGGCTCACTGCAACCTCTGCCTCCCAGGTTCAAGCGATTCTCCTGCCTCAGCCTCCCCAGCAGCTGGGATTACAGGCGCACGCCACCACACTTGGCTAATTTTTGTATTTTTAGTAGAGACGGGGTTTTGTCATGTTGCCCAGACTGGTCTCAAACTCCTGCGCTCAAAGTGATCTGCCTGCCTCGGCCTCCCAAAGTGTTGGGATTACAGGTGTGAGTCACCACGCCTGGCCATTTTTCTTTTAAAGAAAGAAATGAAGCAGATATTTAGCCACAGTGATTTTTACTTCTGTTTTAAAATCTGAATTGTAGTAGTCTACAAACAAGCATTCCCCTTCCTCCCAATAACTGAATAAAGGACATACCTCAGAAGGTGCTTGCTGTGTGCTTATATAATAGATAAGAAACAACCTCATTTTATCTTCTGGAGTTCCTGCTGCATAGGGGAAAAGAGGTTAAAAAATATTTTCATAATTGTGGTTATTATGTATTATAGTCAACACAAGTATGTTACATTTCAAGGCATATATAAATGTGACAAAACAAAACATGGCTCTTGATTTAACTAAGGTAACAGGCATATAATTATAACCATGTAAAATACAAATATGGAAAAGATTAAATGAGGTGGGATTAGAGGGCTGTGATTATGAGAGCATCTCTATTGTATCTTCCAAATTGTGTATAATGTTGAGATTTCCCTTTTAGATATAAACTCACAATGAAAGGAAAGGATATAAGCAGGGTAACCATACAATTCTGAAACAGGATACTTTTGAGGTGGCAAAAGGGGTGCCAGTAACAATTACATAAGGACAACTGGTATGAAAGTGGGACTATCCTGGGAAACCAGATGTATGGTCACCCTAGGAATTGGGTTATGAGACTTTGCTGGCTAAACAAAATCATCTAGCTGAGCCTAAAGCCATACTTCTCAAATTGGGGGGCCCCTAAATACACATGTTTCTGAAGGCTTTTATATTACTATAAGAATGGGAAAACAATATATTTTTATTAAAAAAATTGTTATATCACATAGAATATATTTGCCTCAAATTTTAAGACAAAACATAAGACTTCAAAGTAATGTCTTGCTTGCAGTGCTCTGAGTTACTACTCTTAGTACCCAAAGCCCAAGACTGTCCAGAGAAACTCATTTATTGTCTGTTCTTCTATCATGTATGTGCACTTTGGTGGAAAGGTGATAAAGCATTGTTCTCGACAAATAACAATATTCAGTCTCACTTTAAAGTGCATCCTAAGATGCAAGAACTCAGAATTGTTGTATTTTATGATAGAATAAAAACTAGCTGATTTTCTTCAAAACATAATGACTGATAAGACACTTATTTTTTATATGATTTGGAACACTAACGCTCATTCTCTAATTATCCGTACTCCCTGAAGATGACAAAGAATGGTAAAATAAAGATAATGGTAAGTTCTCTAAAGTTCTCATGTTTACAAATAAATATTGTATTTGGGGCATTTGGAATATTAGGTTATGAGACTCCAGGTCCTGTTAAATCCTAGGACAATACTGATATTTTTGTTTTAACAGGTAATTAGCCTGATTCAGTACAGGCTAATGTTCCTACCAGCCTTCCGTAGGTTATTCTTCCATCATCGATTCTATTTTCAAAACCTCTTGAAGTGCTATTGAGATCTGTCCCATGAACCAGTGGTCAGTCTGGGGACTGGGAGGTCGTCTTCTAGCTCTTCCCCTCTCAGTCTTTGAAATGCTGTTTAGGATCAGCTTCATAGATGTGCAGTTCAGGGGTGAACCCAGGAATTCATGAACAACTTTATGAGGTTACTTTCCTGAGCTCCTTCCTCTCCACAATCTCCCTGGTACTTTCCCATTTCCTTGGCCTTCCCTTTTTGGTGCCCCAGCTAGAAAGCTTTGGCTTTGGTCACCCTGCTTCACTGAGCACTTCCTGCCGTAACTGCCGCAACTATGATCAACCAGCTAGAGGACAAAGGGCAAAAGAGTAATGAGGCTTGTCCTACCCGCTTGGGACCACAGATCCTAATATACAAGAGGAAGGTTCCCCTCCCTCCGAGTTTTAGGGCCTGTGGGTCCCCGAGTTTGCTTCCAGCATCTTCAGCATCTAGCACAGCCTTTTCTAATAGTAGATACTTACTTTGCTTAAAGAAAGAACAGCTCCCACTCTTCTTCAAGAGGAAACATACTTTAAAACTGCTACAGTGTTAATAACTGCCTTAGAACATCTGCTAAGGTTTTAAAGACCAATCTGATGCTAAGGGCTGGGGAGCATACTGATGGTTATAATGACATAACCACAGGGAAACCAAACTGAAATTGTCAGCATGTGTCCTTTACAACTATGATTATTCTAAAGCCTGTAGCTACAGCTTGGAACCTCTTGTCACACGCACCTCTCTCCTTTGACTGCTGCTTTAAAGTTAGAATTCCCTTACTGAGTAATCTGATGTATTTTAGAGAAAAATTTTAAGTACAGTTTGGAGAGCTTTTGTTCTCCCTGAAATTTTGAGAGTAAGATGCTGACCTGCTGTCCCATTACCCCCAAATGTCAAAGACATTCTCTAACACAGCCTCAGTAAAACAATTAGCAAAATGTGATATTAACACTGGCACCATTACAGCGATGTGATATACTACATGACACATTCACTATCATTTAATTCTCAGATCCTAGTTGAAGTTTTACCAATTATGTCTACAGTATATTTAATGGAAAAAGGATCAATTTCAGAATCATGTGCCACATACAGTTGTCATGCCTCTTTAGTCTTCTTCTGTATGAAACAGTTCCTCCATTTTTCCTTGACTTGCATGGCCTTGGTTACTTTTTAAGACTATAGGCTGGTTTCTTCCTAGAATATCACACAATTAAGTTTTGTCTAATATTTCCTCATGATTAGATTTAGGTTATACCGAGGCAAGAATATCACAACAGTGATGCTGTGTTCTTTGCACTGAATCCTACTAGCCCTTTACCTCTCAGCCTTTCCTGAGCTCCTTCCTCTCCACAATCTGCTTAGTACTTTCCCACTATTTTATGTCTCTCTACTGACGACGTTCACTGTGGTTACCTAATAAGGTATTTATCAGGCTTCTCCACCGCACCGTTACTTTTTCTTACAGTTAATAAGTATTTTGTGGGGAGGTATTCTGAAACTGCATAAATATCCTATGAAATTTCAATTTATTCATTTATTATGTCCACATGGACTCTTGGCATCCTCTTTTATCAGTGGGTTATAATCTGTTATTATTTATTTTGATGCTCAAATTGTCATCATCTGGAGCCTATTCAAGCTGACTTCTGGGTTCTTTTGACAAGTTCCATCATTTTTGGAGTAGCTTCCTTGCCTTCTGACACAACAAAAATGTTCCAGACTCATTTTGTACTTTTGCTCCCTGCCCCACCTCTGGAATCAGCTACCTCTCCAAGGAGTCCTAGTGGAAACTGTATTTATAAGGCAGCATCTTTACTAGTTGGGCATTGCTGCTCCCAGGCCCTTTCAGTTGGCAGAGTTACGGAATACATGAGTATACACCGCCCCCCCCAACATACAATCTATATTTATTTCTGTATCTGAACAGATATATAGCGAAAACACTAAGTTCACACCAACACCTCTAATTCCAATCCAACACTACAGGGTTCATTCTAATTTTTTCCCTTTCTATATTTATAAATTCCTCCTCTGACAATGGGAAATTGGGCTTTCTTTATATTATCCAATATATTTATTTAGCCAGTCCCCTGTATATAACAAATATCCCATCTCTGCTTCCATGGGCTTGCTGCATGGATGCCCTTCTTACTTCACTTGAGCTCTGATTTCCTGCAGTGGACCCATCCACATACCTAGACATACGTCTCACCTCACCTAGGCCCAAGCTGGTTTGTTCCTGTGCAGGGGTCACCCTCCTCAATCTGTTATGGTTCTCACACACCTTGCTAGACTACTCCCACATGTGGACACTCTGCTTTCCTTTCCTGAACTTTGACATGCCAGATTACTAATCCTCCCTCTATTCCATGAGTGGATGCCCTTAGTCATCTTGCTCAGGTTCCAACATCTTATTCTGGACCGAAGTGGCACCAGACTGCTACTTTGCAAGAATGCCTACCTTGCTCTATCCTACTTAAATATCTTTAGGGATAAATCGTTTGAGAAAGGGGAAAGGAAAAAGCAGGACTGATTGCCTTTCTGTCAACATGTTTTTTTTGTTTCAACTTTACTCGAAAGTTACTGTAAATAACAAGGAATAGCTCAGAAATGATAGACTTATATAACTTTTTAAATTTCTTTCACTGTAAAATGCATATACCTTTAAAATGCTATGTTCTCACCACAAATCTAGCTTTCTAAAAGTGTGAGCAATACTTATGGCTTCTCAGATGTTTGTATAAATAGAATCTTTAATTATAAAACAGTTTGGACTTTTAAATTATTTTCTAATTTGGATTATAGTCTAAAATTCATACCAAAACTATAACTCAAAAACCATAATTATGCAGCTTAAATAGCTTATATGCAAAATGGGTCCTAGGCTTTCCATTTGTTTTGGAAAAAGCTGAGATTTGAATTCAAAACTATTGTGAAATGATCTACAGGTCTCTAAAGTTTAGGGAATTTCAGAGACTAAGACTCTATGTAGATCCCACAATCTTTATAATTAAAAACTACAATTGGATTACATTAAATTTTTTTTTTACTATTTTTGCCTGTGGTTTTTTTTGTTTGTTTGTTTTTGAGACCAGGTCTTGCTCTGCCACCCAGGCTGGAGTGCAGTTGTGCGATCTTAGCTTACTGCAACATCGTACTCCTAGGCTCAACGGATCCTCCCACCTCAGTCTCCCAAGTAGCTGGGACTACAGATGCATGCCACCCTGCCTGGCTAACTTTCTTCATTTTTTGTGTGTATATGGGGTCTTGCTTTATTGCCTAGGCTGGTCTCAAACTCCTGGGCTTAAGCAATCCTCCTGCCTCAAGCTCCCAAAGTACTGGGATTACAGGTATGAACCACTGTGCCTGGCCAGTCTTTACCATTGTTAAGTGCACAGTTCAGTGGTAAAAAATACGTTTATATTTTTTTGTTCCCTTCATCCCTCCACCTCTCTCCCTTTCCTGGCCTCTGGTAACTCTATCATCATAAGATCTACTTTTTAAGCTTCCACATGAGTGAGAACATGTGATACTTGTCTTTCTGCGCCTGGCTTCTTTTGCTTAACATATTGGCCTCCATAGATCATATTTTCTAAGTACAAATAGTTATATTTTAAGAAAATCTAACATACAAATATTTAAAGTGATTGGCCATAGAGTTCCTTTAAAAGTAAACTCCCTAAACATGTAAAACAGAATTTAGTTTTAGATACATCTTTTCAGGAAATTGAGGGTAGACCAAAGTAATTAGGAAGCGAATCACTTAGAGACACTTGCTTTGAATGTTATACCTTCAAATCTTCCTGGAACCAGCAGATATTAAGCTTTACATATATCACCTTAAACAAGTGAATATAAAATGTGCCTAAATACTATCAAATAAAAGTTCAATGAAATGAAATGCAAATTATTTTTCCACTGTAGGAACTGCTAAGTTATAAAATTTTACCAGAAAATAGCTCATTTAATTATCTTGATATTAGCATTGACTGTCAGAAAAACAACAATTCTATTCAAAGTTTACTCAATTGAAAATGCTGCTTTCGTCAGATATGAAACTTACATTAACCTCAAATTTTTGGTACATACCATCAGGGTCTGATATTATATCTAGAAGAGATTTATCCAGAGTAGTTTTGCTCATTATTTTTTCTTCATATTCAAAATATACATCCAATTTTCTTGCCTGTTTCAAAATAAACATTAGATGAGAATATATTAAGTCATTAAAATACATAATGATCTACTCACCTTATAAGTTTCTATTTTCTATGATCAATTTTAAGATATGTTCTTTCAGACAGGTCAAAAGTACAGTTCAGAAGTACCAGGCTGAAGTACAGTGGTGCAATCTCAACTTCCCAGGCTCATTCCTAACCCAGTCTCCCGAGTAGCTGAGACCACAGGTATGTGTCACCACACCTGGCTAATTTTTCCGTATTTTTTTTTTATAGAGATGGGGTTTTGCTATGTTGTGCAGGCTGGTCTTAAACTCCTGAGCTCAAGCAATCTGCCCGTCTCAGCCTCCCAAAGTGCGGGATTACAGGTGTGAGCAACTGTGCCTGGCTTTCATTTCTTAAAAGAATTTAAAGTGTCTTACTTTTGAATATATATTTAATATAGAAAAAAACCAACAGATTATTTTGTTTACCATATTTGATGGATAAATTCAGCAGTAATTCTGCATAACGTACATATATTAGCAAAGATAAAAACACAATTGTTACTTATTGTATTAATTAGTTACTGGCATACAAATCATATTGTACTCCATGCAAAATTCATGTCAGGTGGTCAAGTTATGTTTACTATTTTAGTGTGCAAATCCACATATATTCACCTTAACTAGATGGAAAGTTACCTTAAACTAAATTATTGTCCTTTTTGTTTTTTTAAAAAAACTTTTTCCTTATTAGTTTTCCTATTTAATATCTTGAAGTTTAAGATAACGGAAACGTAGTAAAACTTTGCTGTGTGAGACCTTTCCTAATTGAAAATTTTGTTGATTAAAATTATCCAAATAAAGTTAACATATTAAGATCCTCAAAAGCAAATAAAAATTATCAAATAACTCTTAAGTTATGCTTCAGATAATTCAGATACTATTGAGGGTGTTAATAATCAAGTGGGAGTAGAAACCATTCATGAAATTATAAAAACAATTTTTATAATTAAGGGTGTAAACAATCAAAGTGGGAGTGGAAACCATTCATGAACTATATTAGGATTTATAGTAATACCAACGTAGAACCAATATACAAATATACAACATAAATACATTATGCTAAAAGGCAGAATGAAATAAATAGCCAATTGAGGAGGAAGTGATATATTTTGAGTTGAAGTTTGAAAGTGATTTAGGGACATAGATATAGTTCATTTCAGTTAAACAGATCATGCCAAGGCACAAGGTAGAAACATCTAAACAGTAGACTAAGGAGTGAATTTGATACATGGAGCAACAAGAAATCAGAGTCATTTCACTGCTACTCCCTTGCAGTGGCACGCAAGGCCAAAGTTTTATAGATGAAATATCCAGATAGTTCAAAAATGAATACAACATAAAAAGACATATACTGAGAAGCCTTATTTTTCACCCCGTCCTCTTCCACCCCATTTCTACCTGCTTCTATAGGTATTTTCTTTTATTATTTCTTCTAGTTTTTTTTAGAGTTTCTTTGTGCAAATATCAGCAGAGTCTGTATTCTAATATCCGCCTCCTTTCTGACACAAGAAGTATGATACTGTACTTTTCTGCCCTTTCCTTTCACTGAACAATATATTCTACATCAGCATGTAGAGGATTCCCTATCAGTGAGCTCTTATCTATGAATTCTCCAGCCCTTCATATTCTTCAGACTCTCTGATATAGGAACTATTTTAGCTACTCTATAAAGCTAGTTTGAATACTAAAATTGATACACAGTAAAGTCCTAGAAATGAGAAAGTCCTACCAATAATACTAAAAATGAGCAAAAGAAATATGAGATTCTAGGAAAAAGGCCACAGTAGTGGCTGTGGGAATGGAAAGGACAAGACGGGTATTTAATAATTTACATGAGAAAGGATATGGGATACAAAGTAGTGAAAGAAGAAAAAGAAAACTTTGGGGAATGACAATGATGATACTAGGAACTGTTAATGTGAATATTAGCTTGGGAAAAGCTGTTATCTGCAGAGTGAAGTCAGGAATGGAAGGGGAAAGGTGCTAAAATAAGCTGTTAAACTAACTTTCAGGCCCTCTGATCCAGCTAACCTTTTCTGTTTTATCACTATTCACTAAATTCAGTTTCCGCTAGTCACATCAAATAGTTATTTCATTAAACTTTAACTTGTCATTAAATACTGTGTTTGCTTTTAATTCTCTAGTCTTAGGCTCAAGTTATTCTCTCAGCTTTTGCAGAATATATTCCTCCTTACCATCTACTCAGTGAATTCTACTCATTCAACGTCTACCTTCTCTGTAGCTTTTCTACAACTCTTCCTTCAATCCCTACTCTCTCCCTTTTCTGACCCTCTCCCAGTCTCCTCCTTGGCCAAAATAACTCATTACTCCCTTATCTGTGTATCAACAGCACTTTATACACCTCATCATAATAACAAAGATCACAGTATATTACTGTCCTTTGTTTATGTGTCTTTCTAAAACTGTAAACTCCTTAGAGCATGTTTAATTAATTGTTTAACCCTAGGAGTCTACCACCACCTGGCTTATAACAAGCACTTGCATTTGCTGAATTTCGAAACTAAGAACGGGGTGTATACAGACCAAGTAATCATTTTTAAAAGTCATAAAAATAGATGAACGAACTTCTAGAAGTGGAAAACGTAAAGAATCTAGTATTTTGTGACTGCATATGTAAAACTCAGTATGCTAAGGTGCAGTGGCACATTCCTGTAGTCCCAGGTACTTGGGAGGCTGAGGTGAGAGGATCGCTTGAGCCTTGGGAGTTTGAGACTAGCCTGGGAAACATAGTGAGACCCTGTCTATAAATAAATAAATAAATAAATAAATAAATAAATAAAGTATGCTAAATGCCATAGCAGATTCTAATTTCTGGAACTATATAAATCAGTAAAAAAACATGGCTCACTGACTTATGTAAGTACAGGCATTTGGTTCATTTTGCTCTTTTTGATGTAGTAACTTACTTATTAACATCAGCTTCTAATGAACAATGGAAATAGGGTCCAAAAACAACTTAATGTGATTGGTACTAGGTAGGGGGTTTCTTTTTGAGGTGACAAAAATGCTTTAACATTAGATTGTGGTTGCAACAACTCTGTAAATATCCTAAAATCCATTGAATGTTTTGTTTTAAATTGATGAATTGCAAAGTACGTGAGTTACATCTCAACAAAGCTGTTAAAAGTAACAGCCCTTTAATATACTGATTATGAGGGAGCACCATCCAAGAGGAAAAGGAGTGAAGTGCTATACAGATTTTCTAACCTGCATAAGAGAACTAGTATCTCTTCAAGGCACCTATCATGTGTAAGGCACTTTACTTACAACTATGGCTTTCAAGAGTTTTTAAAGAGAGAGCCTCAGGACCCTCTTTCTCAAACCAAATCTTCTACAGAACCCTAAACATAAAATAGATACAAGTGATCCATTAAATGTCTCCATACAGCTCTAGGGTACCAGAGAACAGTGTTCAAAAATTACTAACTTACATTATCTCATTTAATTCTCCAAATAACACTATGAGCTAGGAATTATTAATCTCATTTTAAAGATGAAGAAACAGACATACAGAAACATGTATTTGTTCAAGACTACCAGAGTAGAAGTAGTACAGAGTTGAGATCCAAATACAGGTCATACTCTAATGTATACCACAGAAAATAGGGAAAATTACACTACCCTCAAGAACGATTTTATGGCTTCCTTCTATAGGCCTTTTCTCAAATTCTTGAAATGAGAGAAAACACTAAGAGAAGCAACTTCTGTAATTCCAAAGATTAATCTTCTTCTACAACATGGGCTCAAAAGAGAATACAGTTTGGGTAATAAGAGTGACATAAAAAATGAACAAATTAAAAATATAAAACAAAATAACAAGGTCAAGATAATAAACTGAGATTCTTCAGTAGCTTCAATAAATATTAAGAATAAGTGGGCGAGGAGCCAAGATGGCCGAATAGGAACAGCTCCGGTCTACAGCTCCCAGCGTGAGCGACGCAGAAGACGGGTGATTTCTGCATTTCCATCTGAAGTACCGGGTTCATCTCACTAGGGAGCGCCAGACAGTGGGCGCAGGCCAGTGTGTGTGCGCACCGTGCGCGAGCCGAAGCAGGGCGAGGCATTGCCTCACCTGGGAAGCGCAAGGGGTCAGGGAGTTCCCTTTCCGAGTCAAAAAAAGGGGTGACGGACGCACCTGGAAAATCGGGTCACTTCCACCCGAATATTGCGCTTTTCAGACCGGCTTAAGAAACGGCGCACCACGAGACTATATCCCACACCTGGCTCAGAGGGTCCTACGCCCACGGAATCTCGCTGATTGCTAGCACAGCAGTCTGAGATCAAACTGCAAGGCGGCAGCGAGGCTGGGGGAGGGGCGCCCGCCATTGCCCAGGCTTGCTTAGGTAAACAAAGCAGCCAGGAAGCTCGAACTGGGTGGAGCCCACCACAGCTCAAGGAGGCCTGCCTGCCTCTGTAGGCTCCACCTCTGGGGGCAGGGCACAGACAAACAAAAAGACAGCAGTAACCTCTGCAGACTTAAGTGTCCCTGTCTGACAGCTTTGAAGAGAGCAGTGGTTCTCCCAGCACGCAGCTGGAGATCTGAGAACGGGCAGACTGCCTCCTCAAGTGGGTCCCTGACCCCTGACCCCCGAGCAGCCTAACTGGGAGGCACCCCCCAGCAGGGGCACACTGACACCTCACACGGCAGGGTATTCCAACAGACCTGCAGCTGAGGGTCCTGTCTGTTAGAAGGAAAACTAACAACCAGAAAGGACATCTACACCGAAAACCCATCTGTACATCACCATCATCAAAGACCAAAAGTAGATAAAACCACAAAGATGGGGAAAAAACAGAACAGAAAAACTGGAAACTCTAAAACGCAGAGCGCCTCTCCTCCTCCAAAGGAACGCAGTTCCTCACCAGCAACAGAACAAAGCTGGATGGAGAATGATTTTGACGAGCTGAGAGAAGGCTTCAGACGATCAAATTACTCTGAGCTACGGGAGGACATTCAAACCAAAGGCAAAGAAGTTGAAAACTTTGAAAAAAATTTAGAAGAATGTATAACTAGAATAACCAATACAGAGAAGTGCTTAAAGGAGCTGATGGAGCTGAAAACCAAGGCTCGAGAACTACGTGAAGAATGCAGAAGCCTCAGGAGCCGATGCGATCAACTGGAAGAAAGGGTATCAGCAATGGAAGATGAAATGAATGAAATGAAGCGAGAAGGGAAGTTTAGAGAAAAAAGAATAAAAAGAAATGAGCAAAGCCTCCAAGAAATATGGGACTATGTGAAAAGACCAAATCTACGTCTGATTGGTGTACCTGAAAGTGATGTGGAGAATGGAACCAAGTTGGAAAACACTCTGCAGGATATTATCCAGGAGAACTTCCCCAATCTAGCAAGGCAGGCCAACGTTCAGATTCAGGAAATACAGAGAACGCCACAAAGATACTCCTCGAGAAGAGCAACTCCAAGACACATAATTGTCAGATTCACCAAAGTTGAAATGAAGGAAAAAATGTTAAGGGCAGCCAGAGAGAAAGGTCGGGTTACCCTCAAAGGGAAGCCCATCAGACTAACAGCGGATCTCTCGGCAGAAACCCTACAAGCCAGAAGAGAGTGGGGGCCAATATTCAACATTCTTAAAGAAAAGAATTTTCAACCCAGAATTTCATATCCAGCCAAACTAAGCTTCATAAGTGAAGGAGAAATAAAATACTTTATAGACAAGCAAATGCTGAGAGATTTTGTCACCACCAGGCCTGCCCTAAAAGAGCTCCTGAAGGAAGCGCTAAACATGGAAAGGAACAACCGGTACCAGCCGCTGCAAAATCATGCCAAAATGTAAAGACCATCGAGACTAGGAAGAAATTGCATCAACTAATGAGCAAAATCACCAGCTAACATCCTAATGACAGGATCAAATTCACACATAACAATATTAACTTTAAATATAAATGGACTAAATTCTGCAATTAAAAGACACAGACTGGCAAGTTGGATAAAGAGTCAAGACCCATCAGTGTGCTGTATTCAGGAAACCCATCTCACGTGCAGAGACACACATAGGCTCAAAATAAAAGGATGGAGGAAGATCTACCAAGCAAATGGAAAACAAAAAAAGGCAGGGGTTGCAATCCTAGTCTCTGATAAAACAGACTTAAACCAACAAAGATCAAAAGAGACAAAGAAGGCCATTACATAATGGTAAAGGGATCAATTCAACAAGAGGAGCTAACTATCCTAAATATTTATGCACCCAATACAGGAGCACCCAGATTCATAAAGCAAGTCCTCAGTGACCTACAAAGAGACTTAGACTCCCACACATTAATAATGGGAGACTTTAACACCCCACTGTCAACATTAGACAGATCAACGAGACAGAAAGTCAACAAGGATACCCAGGAATTGAACTCAGCTCTGCACCAAGCAGACCTAATAGACATCTACAGAACTCTCCACCCCAAATCAACAGAATATACATTTTTTTCAGCACCACACCACACCTATTCCAAAATTGACCACATAGTTGGAAGTAAAGCTCTCCTCAGCAAATGTAAAAGAACAGAAATTATAACAAACTATCTCTCAGACCACAGTGCAATCAAACTAGAACTCAGGATTAAGAATCTCACTCAAAGCCGCTCAACTACATGGAAACTGAACAACCTGCTCCTGAATGACTACTGGGTACATAACGAAATGAAGGCAGAAATAAAGATGTTCTTTGAAACCAACGAGAACAAAGACACCACATACCAGAATCTCTGGGACGCATTCAAAGCAGTGTGTAGAGGGAAATTTATAGCACTAAATGCCTACAAGAGAAAGCAGGAAAGATCCAAAATTGACACCCTAACATCACAATTAAAAGAACTAGAAAAGCAAGAGCAAACACATTCAAAAGCTAGCAGAAGGCAAGAAATAACTAAAATCAGAGCAGAACTGAAGGAAATAGAGACACAAAAAACCCTTCAAAAAATCAATGAATCCAGGAGCTGGTTTTTTGAAAGGATCAACAAAATTGATAGACCGCTAGCAAGACTAATAAAGAAAAAAAGAGAGAAGAATCAAATAGACACAATAAAAAATGATAAAGGGGATATCACCACTGATCCCACAGAAATACAAACTACCATCAGAGAATACTACAAACACTTCTACGCAAATAAACTAGAAAATCTAGAAGAAATGGATACATTCCTCGACACATACACTCTCCCAAGACTAAACCAGGAAGAAGTTGAATCTCTGAATAGACCAATAACAGGCTCTGAAATTGTGGCAATAATCAATAGTTTACCAACCAAAAAGAGTCCAGGACCAGATGGATTCACAGCCGAATTCTACCAGAGGTACAAGGAGGAACTGGTACCATTCCTTCTGAAACTATTCCAATCAATAGAAAAAGAGGGAATCCTCCCTAACTCATTTTATGAGGCCAGCATCATTCTGATACCAAAGCCGGGCAGAGACACAACCAAAAAAGAGAATTTTAGACCAATATCCTTGATGAACATTGATGCAAAAATCCTCAATAAAATACTGGCAAACCGAATCCAGCAGCACATCAAAAAGCTTATCCACCATGATCAAGTGGGCTTCATCCCTGGGATGCAAGGCTGGTTCAATATACGCAAATCAATAAATGTAATCCAGCATATAAACAGAGCCAAAGACAAAAACCACATGATTATCTCAATAGATGCAGAAAAAGCCTTTGACAAAATTCAACAACCCTTCATGCTAAAAACTCTCAATAAATTAGGTATTGATGGGACGTATTTCAAAATAATAAGAGCTATCTATGACAAACCCACAGCCAATATCATACTGAATGGGCAAAAACTGGAAGCATTCCCTTTGAAAACTGGCACAAGACAGGGATGCCCTCTCTCACCTCTCCTATTCAACATAGTGTTGGAAGTTCTGGCCAGGGCAATCAGGCAGGAGAAGGAAATAAAGGGTATTCAATTAGGAAAAGAGGAAGTCAAATTGTCCCTGTTTGCAGACGACATGATTGTTTATCTAGAAAACCCCATCGTCTCAGCCCAAAATCTCCTTAAGCTGATAAGCAACTTCAGCAAAGTCTCAGGATACAAAATCAATGTACAAAAATCACAAGCATTCTTATACACCAACAACAGACAAACAGAGAGCCAAATCATGGGTGAACTCCCATTCACAATTGCTTCAAAGAGAATAAAATACCTAGGAATCCAACTTACAAGGGATGTGAAGGACCTCTTCAAGGAGAACTACAAACCACTGCTCAAGGAAATAAAAGAGGACACAAACAAATGGAAGAACATTCCATGCTCATGGGTAGGAAGAATCAATATCGTGAAAATGGCCATACTGCCCAAGGTAATTTACAGATTCAATGCCATCCCCATCAAGCTACCAATGACTTTCTTCACAGAATTGGAAAAAACTACTTTAAAGTTCATATGGAACCAAAAAAGAGCCCGCATTGCCAAGTCAATCCTAAGACAAAAGAACAAAGCTGGAGGCATCACACTACCTGACTTCAAACTATACTACAAGGCTACAGTAACCAAAACAGCATGGTACTGGTACCAAAACAGAGATATAGATCAATGGAACAGAACAGAGCCCTCAGAAATAATGCTGCATATCTACAACTATCTGATCTTTGACAAACCTGAGAAAAACAAGCAATGGGGAAAGGATTCCCTAATTAATAAATGGTGCTGGGAAAACTGGCTAGCCATATGTAGAAAGCTGAAACTGGATCCCTTCCTTACACCTTATACAAAAATCAATTCAAGATGGATTAAAGATTTAAACGTTAAACCTAAAACCATAAAAACCCTAGAAGAAAACCTAGGCATTACCATTCAGGACATAGGCGTGGGCAAGGACTTCATGTCCAAAACACCAAAAGCAATGGCAACAAAAGACAAAATTGACAAATGGGATCTAATTAAACTCAAGAGCTTCTGCACAGCAAAAGAAACTACCATCAGAGTGAACAGGCAACCTACAACATGGGAGAAAATTTTCGCAACCTACTCATCTGACAAAGGGCTAATATCCAGAATCTACAATGAACTCAAACAAATTTACAAGAAAAAAACAAACAACCCCATCAAAAAGTGGGCGAAGGACATGAACAGACACTTCTCAAAAGAAGACATTTATGCAGCCAAAAAACACATGAAGAAATGCTCATCATCACTGGCCATCAGAGAAATGCAAATCAAAACCACTATGAGATATCATCTCACACCAGTTAGAATGGCAATCATTAAAAAGTCAGGAAACAACAGGTGCTGGAGAGGATGTGGAGAAATAGGAACACTTTTACACTGTTGGTGGGACTGTAAAGTAGTTCAACCATTGTGGAAGTCAGTGTGGCGATTCCTCAGGGATCTAGAACTAGAAATACCATTTGACCCAGCCATCCCATTACTGGGTATATACCCAAATGAGTATAAATCATGCTGCTATAAAGACACATGCACACGTATGTTTATTGCGGCACTATTCACAATAGCAAAGACTTGGAACCAACCCAAATGTCCAACAATGATAGTCTGGATTAAGAAAATGTGGCACATATACACCATGGAATACTATGCAGCCATAAAAAATGATGAGTTCATATCCTTTGTAGGGACATGGATGAAATTGGAAACCATCATTCTCAGTAAACTATCGCAAGAACAAAAAACCAAACACCGCATATTCTCACTCATAGGTGGGAATTGAACAATGAGATCACATGGACACAGGAAGGGGAATATCACACTCTGGGGACTGTGGTGGGGTTGGGGGAGGGGGGAGGGATAGCATTGGGAGATATACCTAATGCTAGATGACACGTTAGTGGGTGCAGCGCACCAGCATGGCACATGTATACATATGTAACTAACCTGCACAATGTGCACATGTACCCTAAAACTTAGAGTATAATAAAAAAAAAAAAAAAAAAAGAAACAATTGCAACATACAGCATTGTGTTGGAGACTTTAAATATATTTTAAAAAGTAAAAAAAAAAAAAAAAAAAGAATAAGTGAGTAAAAGGGGAACATTCTAGACAATCAAAAGCACTATGCGTGGAATATAGATTATATATAATGAACATAAACTCTGAGAGCCATGCATTTCTCAAAAATCCTTTTAGAAGGACATTCTATGGGAGGAATCTCATTAAAAAAAAATTCTAGTGCTTTTCTCCAAATTTCAGTCATCAGGTAAACAATCAGACTGATTTTACATTCATTTTTCAGTACACTGCCTCAATTTATATTATATCAAATTAACATTAACATGCTGTGCGCACATACATACATATACAGATTGTGTAAGACATTTGACTGGCTATAGCCCACAGGGTTTGGAAAGAACAAAGGGAGCACTTTCTAAAACTAGTTTGTCCCTTCTCTCACCAAAAGGGAATAATCTTAAAACCTATCTGACGCTAAAGTTGGACACTGTGGCATGCACCTGTAATCCCAGCTATTCAGGAAGTTGAGGCATGAGGATCACTTGAGCCCAGGAGTTCAACAGCAGCCTGGGTAACATAGACTTGTCTCTAAAAAAGACTTATCTGAGAAGTACAGGTAAGTACACATCGTTTGCTTTTTGAAAATCCATAACCTGGGACATTTGCCAGACGACCAAGAAAGGACACAAAAGAAATTCCCTTTTCCTTCCTATAAGTAATTGCAGGGATTTTTCCTTCTTTTTACTATTTCTCTCCCCATTCTAGCTATAGACACTACTGTTCTGGAACTCCATTTGCTGCTAGCGATAATTCCCATTTCTTACCTCAGTCTAATGACTGGGTTGATGACCAAGTCTAGAGTGACACTTCTTGGCTTTCCCTCTTCTTCAGCCCCAATTCTATCCCCAATAACCATTCAGCAGTGAAAAGAAAGACAAGAAGGGAATAAAGAGTTATACCTCCTTTCTACCAGTAAGAACTCAATATTCCTTTCTCCCTACTTCTCAGGAGGTACAGGGAATGATAAACCTTTCTATGTTGCAATGCTATGTTAGGAATATTCCAGATTATGAATTAGATAGGGTTTGTGAGACAGAAATCTACCTACGACGTAATATCTATAGGAAAGTATACCCCCCAGTTGCAGTCATGAGCTCTCCCGAGTTCCTGTCTCTGCCAGCACCGCCTGGATGGCCTCCCAAAATTGCGACCCAGCCACCACTAGCATCGCAGCCTCCCACAAAGGAGCAGAGCCAAGCTGGGGTGCCGCTGGGGGTCCCATGGGCAAAACAACAGGAGCTCATGACTCATAATGTGTGGCAGCAAGGGCATTTCTGCCTTCCCTGAATCAGACCACCTTTTCACATGGGTAGGGGCCATCCATGGAGCAGCTGCCACAATATATGAAGACCTGAGGTATAAGCATAAGCTCTCACTAGAGTTCCCCAGTGACTACCCTTACAATGCACCCAGGTGAAATTCCTCACACCCTGCTACTATCCCAGTGTGGACACCCAGGGTAACATATGCCTGGACATCCTGAAGGACAAGTGGTCTGCCCTGTATGACATCAGGACCATTCTGCTCTCCATCCAGAACACTCTCCATCTCCAGCCTACTAGGAGAACCCAACATTGATAGCCCCTTGAACACACATGCTGCCAAACCCTGGAAAAACCCCACAGCTTTTAAGAAGTATCTGCAAGAAACCTACTCAAAACAGGTCACCAGTCAGGAGCCCTGACCCAGGCTGCCCAGCCTGTCCTTGTGTCGTCTTTTTAACTTTTCCTTAGATGGTCTGTCTTTTTTTGTGATTTCTGTATAGACTCTGTATCATGAGCTGTGATATTATTTTTGTTTTTGTCTTTTAAATTAAGCCTCAGTTGAGCCCTTGTGATGTATATTAAATAAATACATTTTGGTCATTAAAAAAAAAGTATATCTCAAGCTACAATGAACTTAGAACCAGACTTTTAGAATATCACCTACACCTAAGCTGAAGACTGTTTATATTCTAGCCATTCCTGTTTCTTCTTACTTCTTCACATGTTTAATTCCTGGCATCTTTCAGGGCTGTATTTGGATATCCAGGTGGGTAGCACCAGTAATGCTGCATTATAATCATCTATGGTTGGTATATGTCACTACAGTAAAAACTCCTTGAGACTGCTTGTTCATTATTGTATGTATAGTGCCCTGCAAGATAACTGGAATTCTCCAAAACTCAATTGCTTTGTATAATATAACAAAATAGCTGGTTAATTTATTTTCAGTTATTCAGGTGTGCATTTTGTTGCAATTCATACCGGTGGGTTTGCCACTATATGCATGGATTTGTCAATGTGAAAAATTATGTTACAAAAAATCAAGATGAACCATAAAATTGTATTTAAAGGTGTTCTATGATACAAGTGACTGAAAATATTTACTTGTTGGGTTTCCAAGCTACAATGAACTTAGCTCATGTGCCATAGTGACTTAGGAATCTTGAACAAAATTCATTTTACTTCTACCTCTCTTCTGTACACAGATGGGACAGTATACTATCAAGGTGAGAGACCAGCTTATTTCTTCAATTTCTACAACAGATTATCAATCTTACTAGTTGGTTATTTCATTTCCAAACATATGCATTTTTTCTCTCAACCAAAAACATTGAATTTCTAGCATTCCAGGACCAAATCAGAATGTATAACCTCAACTTGTTATCTAACTCCTATCAAAAGCCAAAATGAAAAAATGATATTATAGATTATTCAAAGAATATGCAATCTTTCCACTCTAGATAATAAAAATTCTATTAGTTTAAGAACAGGACATATACAGGGAACCATTAGAGGGCGATAGACTTGGCTACCTTGGTAACTCATAGAACTGCTCTCATTGAATTGTATTTAATATTATATCCCTGGGTTTCATGAAAGTTGCTATACGAAACAGTCACATGAAATCTATAAGGGTAACTGATATTAATTACTACCTCATTACATCACTTAATTTATTCTAGATAATGCCCAATATGAGCAATGTCTTTTGTAATGTGATGCTAAGAAATGGTTTGCTTAGAATAAAAAACAGAAAATCTTTCTGACAGAGGTTTTTTTATCTTAATCATCTCTCTCTTTTTTATCTTGGCTGTGAGAAAATTCAAAGCCAAATTTGAGAATTAACATTATAACTATTGAGCTTTTACTGAATTATTTGTGAGCTTTTATCAGATTGTTTTCATTCTATGTGCTATTTGAGGGAGCTGCCTTAAATCTGTTTTAGAATATGAACACAATATTTAATCTGTAAATTTATCCTATGTATTGACTTATGCTAAAAATATTTAAATTCAGACTAAAATGATCTATATAAAAAATTTAAAATGTACACAAAATGATCTTTATAGATGGCAAGTATAAAAAATATAAACAGAAGTGACCTTATTATCACGAAATACTGAAAACTGCTTTATGATATTTCCGTGGTATTTGTAAACTGTTGTCTTGTTTTTTATGGCTCTCAGAAATCACTTAGTTTTAATTTATTCAACCAGTATGTTGAGCGCTTTTTTTTTTTTTTTGAGACAGAGTCTCACTCTGTCACTCAGGCTGGAGTGCAATAGCACGATCTCGGCTCACTGCAACCTTTGCCTCCTAGGTTCAAGCAATTCTCATGCCTCAGCCTCCAGAGTGACTACAGGTGTGCGCCACCATGTTCAGCTAAGTTTTGTATTTTTAGTAGAGATGAGGTTTTGCCATGTTGGCCAGGCCGGTCTCCTGGCCTGAAGTGATCTGCCTGCCTTGGCCTCCCAAAGTGCTGGGATGACAGGTGTGAGCCACCGCGCCCAGCTGAATGTTGAACTCTTAAAAGATATACTTAGAAAAAGAACAGCAAGTTAAATCCAAAATAGGCAGAAGAAAATAAATAATAAAAATTAGAGCAGAACCAGTGAAATTAAAAACAGGACATCAACAAAGAAAAATCACAGACTATAGAGGTTCCCTTCTACTCTCTATTTTTTGTTATTTTTATTTTTTATGAGATGGGGGTCTTGCTATGTTGGTCAACTGGACTTGAACTCCCAGGCTCAAGAGATCCTCCCACCTCAGCCTTTGAGTGGCCAGGATTACAGGTGCATGCCACCAAACCTTGCTTAGTTGTTATTTTTCAGTTTAAATTATTCCTAATCCTATGGTTACTCCAAAGGGATTACAAAAGAGCAAACCATTCTCACTGAATTTTAGTAGATATGTTTTATGGAACTACAGCATGGTAGAGAGAACATGGGACTTAAAAACCCAAGTTAAAATTCAGGCTTTGGTAGATGGTCTTAAGGCAAGTATTCAGTATTTCTGAGATTCAGCTCCTCTGTAGAATGTGGGAATATACCTACTATGTTAAATATCTTATGTAACAGTGAAAAAAAAAGTTCATTCTCCCTTTAAAAGAAAAAAAACCCCACATCCTATGTTTGTATTTTCAGCCAAGGATTAGTTCTGTTCTCTGGGGAACCCTGGCTAACACAGGTTGTTTGCTTTCTCATTATTGAGTTTTGAGATGTCTTTATTCCTTTGAATTTAATCTTTATGAACCTATTAAACTAGGTCTTGCTAAATGACAATGCTTTATCCTCATAAAAGTAGGTATTAGGGAAGTGAGAGCCAAGAGCAAGAAAAAGTTGATTTCATACATATTTTTTTTGAGATGTAGAAGTAGTTCCAGAAATTCACAGTAAGGAGTTGAAGGATATTCCACTCACTGAAGAGCTATCTTTTGTCATACTTGCAATAAAAAACAAAACAAAGCAAAACAAAATACTTCAGATTCTCATAGTAACTAATCTTGAGATGAGAAGAGATAAAAGACAAGTGATAGCTCATCCACTGTGAACTTTCTGATACAGAATATATTTTTCCTCTGTCTTAAAGAAAAGACACCAAGGTAATAAGAACTTTCACTTGATATGCATACTGGACAAGAGATCATTTTAAACAAATCAGCACAAAATCCAGCCAAAGAAATGTTCTGACTTCTAGTTCAGTAAAAGACCTCTAATGTGATCAGGAGCAATAGTGATCAGTTAATCAAAGTCAGTTAATGTTAAAAAAAAAAAAAAAGTCAGTTTATGTGAAGAATAAAACAGGATCTATGTTGTATGTTTAACTTAAGACCTAAAATACGCAGTCTGTCAATCACTGATCTATGTCCAAGACTTCTTCTTTGAGTACAGAGATTCAGTGACTGACATTTTTTTTCTTTCTTGCATAAAGCACACCTATCAGAAATCACCTATGATTTCCAGGTTCAGTTCTTTGGGAGTGGAATAAAAAATTTTAGAGACATTGCAAAGCAATTTCCGTAAAATACAGTATTTTCTGAGGCTTTCCAATCTTTTATGGTTAAGGTTTTTTACCCACACCTAATTCAAACAATATTTATTTAAACCATCATGTTCACTGAGTCTTTCTAAGATGTGCAACTTAGTTTTATAGAAACAATCTTTTCATACTCATACAATTGACATAAATGCAATAAAACACAAATAACTCATTAGTAAGCAAAAAAAAAAAAATCCAATCATGAGAGCAGAAAAAGGCACAAGATGATAATAAGGAAATTGTTATGACATGTTAATAATGTGGCTACTGGCCACTGTGGTTTACAGAGGGCATCAGTTAATTTGGTGTGGTGACTAAGTGGAGATCAGTTAAGAGAGTTTCCACTTTATTTTGAAAGCTTATCTTCCCCATAAAAATATAAGGCAGTTGAACCAAAAAATAAAAATAAAAAGTCAGTCCTCAGAAGGAACACTAGTGAAAAGCTAGCATTGCCAACAAGGGTTAAGCCTTCTTTAGAGTACAGACATCATCACCTAATCAGATGATGTCTTTAGATCTAATTCAGTCCCTATAAGACTGTCTATAAGAACAAGTAAAACAAAAATGAGGATCCAGTAACAATTAAGCCTTGCCTCACAAAGTTTATTGATAGCTTATTTTTTACCAGCTATATCCGGTTGGTTGGAGCATTCAGATGTGGGTGCTTTTCCTCTAAGGTGGGAACACTGGGGGAAAGAACCCATGATACCATTTCTCTCTCTCATCTCATCAACTATGCTTTACAAGTAGGCTTCTTTTCTTTAGGTATCTGGAGCTAAAGAGTACTTTATTCAGGTTTGCTACATAGGTGAGCTAAGAATAATTAAAACAGGCTGTCTACAAATTATGTAAGTAATCCCAGAAGCCATTCTCTAACAACCAGCAAGTGGGAAAGTTGCATTTGTATTAGGGATGAAAAAACAACTAAAGAAAGGGTTTAAAAATATAGATGACTCAAAACAAATGAGTATTCAACAATTTACTCTTTATTAGACCCAAATTACCCAAATCACTAAAATCCTCAGAATATCAATAAAGTGAAAATGTTTCTTAAAGTTATGACAAACTGGTGTGCTCTAATTTTCCACCAAAACATCAATTGCGGGGTAACTGCCAGGATTTCTAAAAAGGTTAATTTCTTCTTTAGAAAACGACTGAAGGAAATGTAAGAAGCGGTTATACTCTAAACAAAAGAAGAAATATGTAAAACTAATACAGTCAAATACTAAGAGAAATGCTGAGACCTCTACATGACACAATCTTCTAGCTAGTAAAAAATATTTACGGCCAGGCGCGGTGGCTCACGCCTGTAATCCCAGCACTTCGCGGGGCCGAGGCGGGTGGATCATGAGGTCAAGAGATGGTGACCATCCTGCCCAACATGGTGAAATCCTGTCTCTACTAAAAATACATAAATTAGCTGGGCATGGTGGTCCGTGCCTGTAGTCTCAGCTACTCAGGAGGCTGAGGCAGAAGAATCGCTTGAACCCAGGAGGTGGAGGTTGCAGTGAGCTGAGAGTGTGCCACTGCACTCCGGCCTGGTGACAGAGTGAGACTCTGTCTCAAAAAAAAAAAAAAAAAAAAAAAAAAAAAAAGGTGCTTAGGTGAATGTATGTTCACAAGTAAGTAAAGCTCAGATGGTCAAGAAATTCTGGTGAAAAGAGAAGAGATTACGGAGCAAAATATTTCTTTAATTAACATTAACACAGCCAGCAGTAGGTGGCTTAACATAGTAATGGTATAAATAAACATGCCGCTTATAAGGATGGAAATTTAAGAGTTATGAAAAGTTATAAGAAATTCTGTAACTAGGAATAATGAGAAATAATGAGAACAATACAGTTTATCTGCTACTTTTGACAAGGAAGAACTTAAAATATTTAAAATAAATATGCTTCTTTATCTAGGATATAAAAAAAACTTCTGATTTTTAATTGGGCTTCTTAGAATGACCCAACTAGGAGTAGTGTGTTCTACAGATGACATTATTTTCCCTCTGTAAAGTGAATGTCCTCAATAGCACACTTTGTTTAAATCAGATCTTATGATGAAAAAGGATCATTAGCAAGATAATGATTCAATAATATCTATTTTTTTGACTGGGTGTGGTGGAATGCACCAATAGTCTTAGTTACTAGGGAGGCAAGGCAGGAGGATCCTTGAGCCCAGGAGGTTAAGGCTATATTGAGCTATGATTGTGCCACTGTACTCCAGCCTGGGTGACAGGGAGAGACCCTGTCAAAATAAATAAATAAGTGAATAAATAAAATCTATCTTTTACATAAAATCACTCAATATCTTGAATGACAGATTAGTTTCTTGGCATAAGATGCTCTGCCAGAGAACTAGCAACCCTAAAGGGAACACTTTCTTTTATAAGACCAAGAGGTCTTCAAGTAGAATTGTTTAGGTTGGGCATGGTAGCATATTAAACTATCTCAGACAGATGGCCTCTGTTAGCAAAAACTGATCTGAAAAACTCACCTAAAATCATTAGTGTAAAATTATAATAAGCACGATAAAAATTTCGTAAGTAAATTATGTCTTATAAATCATTTTTCACCTACACATCTATAATAGTTGTCTTCCAGTTCCACTTTTATTTCCAGAACTCATTGTCCCTTATCCTCCACAGTCTTCTTTATTTTAAAACATAAATCAGATCATGTCATTAACCTCTAATGAGTTATCATACTTAAATTTCTACTTTTTTTGATTCCATATTCTACCATCACTCTTTCCCTCCTCAATAAAGCACAATTTGTCTTTTTCTAGGTTCTCAAACATACCGAATTTGTTTGTCGTAGGGCCTTTGCACTTCTTATTCCCTCTGCCTGGCATGGTTGGCCCTGAGATCTTCACTAATTGGCTCCTTTCTGTGATTCCTGTCTCAACTCAAACATCACCTCATCAAAGGTGATTTCACTTGCAGACTTACTCCAGAGTAGGCCTCTCAGCCATTCTCATATCCCATTGCCTCACATCACCCTGCTGTTTTTGTTGTTCTCATGTCACTAAAATGCCTGAAGTTAACTTGTTTTCTAATTTGCTTACTCTGTTTACTGTCACTACAATATAAGCTTCAAGAGAACAGAGAACTTGTCTGTCTTGTTTACTACAGTATCTTCAGGGCCTAGTACAATATACATAGAGCCACTCAATAAACATGATTGAATAAGTAAATTAACCAAAATTTTCTCAAACTATAAGTTCTAGTCTCCGACCTGAAGGAAATTCTCAATATAGCTCTCTGTTGTATTTCACCTGGTGATATATCTATACATCTATATCTGTATCTGTATCACCTCCACAAGAGACAATGACCTCAGGTAAACAGATCTGAACAGCCTTTTGCCATTTCACAGAGACACTACATATAGAAGTGAAAACATCAGCAGAATCACCTACAGACTGCAGTTCTGTTTCTATTCCTGTATGAACCTGAAAAATATCAAGTACCAAGATGTGAAACAAAGAAAAAAATTAGGTTGTTGGCGTAATAGTAATTATGCAGGTTTAAACTGCATGCTGCCCATTATCTATGTTAGTGCCTTTCTAATGCTTTTGTGGCTTTTAAAATTATTTAAATAATACCTTTAAGTACCTTCTCAATAAATCCCAGGTGTTATCAACTTCTCTGACAGCCAGCAATTATATTCAGCTTTTTAAACAGTTTCAAATGCATCATATAAAATGGAAAGGAGGGGTCAATATTAGCCAAGTTTTAGCATATGGTCAATCTGCCACAGAAATTCAGCTCCAAGTGTGGAGAACAAATAATAGCAGAATACTGAAGGACTGATTAAGTAAGCTGACAATGGGGCAATCATGAACACGGTAATGAGAAAAAGAACTATAACAATATATAGAACTCCCAACATACTTGTTTCAAAATCACAGTTCAATGATACACAGTAAGAAGCTTCAATGTTAACAGATTCTCTAAATTTAAAAAGTTCAGAACAAAGTCACATAAATAAAAGTGATGTTATTAATGGATATTTTAGATAGAACTCTGGTAAAAGAGATTTCCAAATCTATTACTGATGCTGAGATACAAGTCTACTATTAATACAGTAGTATGTACAGCAGTGATATTGAGGCAGTGCAATATAATAGAAATATCATAGATTCCCACTTCTATTTACTAAACATGTGACCTTGGAAATCACTTATCTTTCTGGATTCCTAGGTTACTTTATTTGCAAAAAAATAACTATAATACTGCTGTCTTCCATAATTATACTTCATGTTACAGTGGGGACTCAATAAGATAATGAATACTAAAGCATCTTACAAAGTATAAAACCCTATGTAAATGCAAGTCATATTGTGGGGGGGAAAAAGTTAAATTTACCTTTATATGTTCTAAAACAGCAGTGGCAACATTTGTATGGAGATCAATAAGTCTTTTTTTCTCAAGGAGTTCTGGCAAAGAACTGCAAGTATCAAAAAATTAAATATTAACCAATAAATTTTCTAAAATGACATAGACTTTATCTCATGCCTGGTGTTTCCCCTGTGGAAACTCAGAACAGTGAAACAGTAACAAGATGACGAATTAAACTATCAACTAATTTAATCTCTAGACTTGAACACCTACAGTATTTATTAATACAGGTGAAATGCTTATTTTAAAATAATCTGGCTCCCAAATATCATTATTTCTATCACTTTACTTTCTGATTCCAAATTTTGGAGGTTTAAATAAAATCAAATTAATGGAAACATGCGTTATCTGTATTTCTAAAACACATTTCCTCCCTCCTTCTTTTTTTTGAGACAGAGTCTCTGTCGCCTGGGCTGGAGTGCAATGGTGCTATCTCGGCTCACTGCAACCTCCGCCACCCAGGTTCAAGCGATTCTCCTGCCTTAGCCTCCCAAGTAGCTGGGACTACAGGCGTGCACCACCACTCTCAGCTAATTTATTTATTTATTTTTTTAAGTAGAGATGGAGTTTCACCATGTTGGCCAGGATGGTCTCAATCTCTTGACCTTGTGATCTGCCCGCCTCAGCCTCCCAAAGTGTTGGGATTACAGGCGTGAGCTACCGCGCCCAGCCTCCTCCCTCCTTAATGGCATTCAAAGTACAGAAAAAACTGTTTAACTTTTAGTTAAGAAAACAGTATCTATAATAAAATTAATAATCGCTTGCCCTACTTTATCATTAATAGTATTTTCCTCATAAAATTACCCCTATTACACAGTTCTAACTGGTGAAAGAATGAATAATCTCCTATATCTAAGAGGGAACTAAAATCGGCTTAAACATTTAGCTAAATACAATTTAGTTCTTTAAATTCAAAGTTATATTTGCTATTGCCTACAGTTTCCTACTAGTTAAAAACATTAACAATTTTTTAGTTAAATAAAAAAAAAATCCTATCAACAGAAAGACTTCAAAGAGGATATACTGCTCACTTACCTAACAGCTGATGTTAGCTTAGCGGTATTGTCAGAAAGCATACTTATGGCTCCTTCATCTTCCCCTTCTAGTCCCTTGTAAAGAAAAAAGGTCTCAATAGCTACTCAAAAATCCCAGGCACAAGCATAAAAATCAACACATCCTAAGATTGGAGCAAATATCCTAAGATTATTGATATACCGTAAGATTTTTAAGTCACCTAGAATAGTAATTCTCCTCCTCTGAGGTGCAAGCATATATATTTTAATGTTACATAAAAGTTCTAGTAATCGCCAGTCTAATGGTTAGATGTCTAAATGATCAGCTGGCATTTTTGGATAAGGAGACAGGCCCAGAGACGTGCCATAGGTCACACAGCAATAAACAGTAGAGCTGAAATCTGAAGTTACATCGAAGTATGGTAGAATGAGCAGCATTGGAACATACATCTCTAAAATGATGCTACATTATATATTTTTTCAAATCATATATTATTTTTTCTCTTCTCAATATTTAGATTTCTTTTTGATCACTTACGCAAGTTGAAAATATTTTTGTTATAAAAGCATTAAATGGCCTTCAATTTTTATAAGGAAAAAAACCCAAATCTCTTTATCTAACAGATAATCCTCCTCTTTCCTATAATTCTTAGAAAGCAAATAGAATCTTACCATAATGCTTTTAAGTCGTTTGACCTCATCTTCCTGTGCTCTGTAAGATTCTAGTTCTTGCTGAACTGATTCTGCAACTTCTGGGAATGGACTAAAACAGTATTGCACAAGAACTATGAGGATGACATTAAAAGACCAATTTTTGTGTAAATTCTAAAATATATACAATGAACATTTATTATTTTAAATATACTTATTTGGATTTGAATATATGTTATATATAACAAAGGCAGAAAAGATTCAGCACAAATACAACTACATATCTTTCTGATATCTATATAATACTATTTCTTTAAAATGCATATAATATACATCTAAAATTTAAATTTCATTTCTATTTTTCATTAACAGTATCATACATTCTCTTCACTTATACGTTTTTAGAAGAAAAAGTAAAATATTTACATGACTGAAAATCAATGGAAGACAAGTCATGTTATATCAAATATCAATTAAATATTCCCATCCAAATTAACACGTCATGTCAAAGGGTCCATGCAACTACAAAGACAGCATTTAAAAATATCACCTGCAAGTAACTGTGAAAAAATTCTTGTAACTCAGAACTCATAATATCCCAGAACACTACTGGTAAAAATAGCACTTGGGCCACAGTTTTGGTGGCCTAATACCTGATGTCTTCTACCAGGACATTGTGGTTTAGCAGTAACTTACATAGACTTTAGGCAGAAGTGATCTGCAATCATGAGCACTCAGGTAGAAAACACTGTACTAATCTTGACAAACTCTAGGTGAATACATGTTGATCATTAAATGTTTCTTAAAATGAGTATTTTTCATCTACAGCCTAGGGGGAGGCCAGAAGCCTTTTCTCCTTTAAGAAAGAAAAGGTCATGTCTCATTAACAGTGAACAAAAACCTTTCCCCCCTTCCTCAGCTCTGACATCTGAAAATACCTCTCTAATAACAAGCACATTTTATCCAATGGAGACTAGCAGAAAAGACAGGAGCTCAGAAAGGATTCTGAGGAACACAGTCCAATTTTACCTCACAAGCACAGGCATTTACTCCAGCTCCAGTTGAGTCTATGTTGGCAAAAAATAGCACTGAGGCCTCAGCATTGCACTGGGGAGTCAGAAACCCTTGTTCCATCTAATTATAATGGAAACTTCCTTTACAGGCAAGCTCTTACCCTCTCAGGGCCCTAGCTTTATCTGTAAAATGTGTGGGTTGAACTGGATAATCCTCAAAATCTCTGATATCTTTAGGTCTCAGAGTTAACAGAGAATAATTGCTCACATTTATTAAGTGATTTTACTATACATCAAACACCATGCTAAGAATTTATCTTTTCTTTCTTTTTTTTTTTTTTAAGATGGAGTTTTGCTCTTGTTGCCCAGGCTGGAGTGCAATGGCGTGATCTCGGCTCACTGCAACCTCATTTAATCCTGATGAATCTGTTGAGGTAACTATCATAACTTAACTATTCAATGTTAAGACTGGGTGCTTTATGGTCTGCAAGACCTGGGTTTCATCCCTGGCTTTACCAACGAAAGCTGGATGACTTGGGCAAATTACTCCTTTAAATTCATTATCTCAATCTTCTCAACAACCTTCTGAAATAGGGCAATAGGTAGAATTATTATCTCCCTATTTTACTGATGAGGAAACTGAAGCTCAGAGAGGTTTAGGTCACTTGTTTATGCTATCTCCAAGTGTCTTTGTGCCCATGTTACTATTGTATGTAAGATGCAGAGCAAAAGAGCTATTCCTACTTAATGAATAGGAGGTTAAAATTCTTACTATTCAACTGACCTCTTAAATTGTTCTTAAACATATGTTCTAAAAAAATTCAAAATTTCCATATTTGAATACAGAGATTTTTTTCTTAAGCTTTTCTCTATTAGGGAATGCCAACTTCAAAATATTCTGTATTCTCTATAAATAATGCCTCTCTAATAAAAGTAATTTCTTGTACTTCACCATTCTGGAGGGAAACGTAGATTATGGAATTCCAAAGGGAAGAGTATTATTTAAAATCAAATTTATTAAAATTAATTAAAATAGTACCTAAAACTGCCATAGTGAGAAAGAGAAAGACAGTGACTTTTCTCTGCAGAGAAAGTCAAATCTTTGTTATGGCGATTTGATTTTCCAGCTTAAAAAAAAGTTGTAAGTAAAAAAAAGATAAAGCATATTAAAAACCCAGCATGTTGAACCAAGTCTATATTCGACTTCTCTTTAAACAATAAATATAAGCCCAAAAAGAACAGCTATATCAAGGACACACACACATTTTGAAATATTTTTTAAAAATCATATTTTCATAATTGTTGATGAACAGTATTCTTTTTCTCTGAGGAATAATATTTTTGTTTGTTTAGAATGATGGCTCTAGCCATAATGATCACTAGATAACTTTTATAGCAGTAACTGAGCCCATGAAGTACCCTAAACTTTAAGGGGGCATAGCATCACATGGGATATGTATATCTGCCCACAGTAAATCACATGGCAAATTAATGCAGTTTTATCACTCATTATTTCTAATGTACTTTGAATAAATTTCTAGGCTTTTAGGCTTAGGTACTCTCTCCACAAGTATCTAAAACAAGGTTTACATGAGGGCAACATGTAACAAAAAGGAAAAAATCACCCCCAAAATCACAAAAGCCAATTTAAATGAAAGGCAGAGATGGTCTTATAGAGTCAGTGGAGACAGCAACAAAATTGAAAAAGACTATCTGTATAGGATGATCTCATTGAAAGGAGAAGCGGTCCCTATAAAACAACAATGAACAAAAAACAACTTAGGAATCAGTGAGAAATGGAGAAATAAAGACAAATATCTACAGACTATCTAATTACAGCCCCCACTCATTGGGTGAACGAACCTACATGACCCTTTTTTTTCTCAAATTCATTAAGGTGGATGACACCTTAATTTCTCTTTAAAAAAATGAATCTTTTACTTATTGATATTTTGCTTACCTTCCTTTATGTTTTTGCCAAAATTTATCAACCGGAGTTAAATCATAAGACTTCTTGTTTTTTCTCTTTGGTCTAGCACCAGCTGGAGAGTTTTCCACTCCTGAAGATTCTTCCAAATTAACCCTGTTTAAATGGAAATCCTAGGAAAAAGTAATCTTGTGTTAAACAACTGTTTTCTAAGTCTAATAAAAATAGAATCTTGTTGCCCTTTCTAATGTTTCCAAGGACAAAATATAGATCTGAAATTTAAAACATCTCCTCCCAATCTTTTGTTACATACAAATGTAATTTTGTTTCTGTATTTTAATGAAAGTATTAGATGTATATTAAAATTTCAAACAAGAAAAAGAGAAAAACATGTCAATATGCTTGTGTATCCTTCTAGAAAAACATTGATGCATATAATAGCACATACACATCCTCTTAATTTTATTTTTTAAAATGGGATTACAGGGTACATGTTATATCTTTTTTCATCTAATAATACATTTTACAGCTCTTTCTGTATCTGTATATGTACATTTACTTCATCTTTATCATAACTACACAGTAGTCCAATGTTTGGCTAAATCAACTTATGCAACCAGGCCTCCTGATGCTTGGTCATTTCCAGTAACAAATGTTATCTTAAATATTTTTAAACTCTTAGAGAGTCAACATTCTGATGTGTCACTTGAGTGATGAACTGCAATTTTAAAAATTACAATAGATGCTATAATAATAAGTGATGCCCCTCTTTCACACAAACTTTAAGAGTCAGGCCAGTAGTGGCTAAACTTTCTTGCCTAGGACTAATTTTATTCACGTGAGGCTTGATTTTTGTACCTTTTCTGTAAAAAAAACCAAAAAACCCCCCAAAACCCAAAACCAAACCAAACCAAACCCACAAAAACCATTAGGCAAAAATAAAAGTAAGTATCTTTTTTCTTTCCCCCAACTTCTTGCATTACATCTATGGGTTCCCTCACAAATAGCAGCATTTTATGGTTTAATGCCAACTAAAGAATAGTGAAAGATAAAACATGACTATCAACAAGTAAATGATTGATGAAGAAGGAAGACACAGTATGGAGAAATTATCCAGCATGACTGAAATATAATTATCTTAGTTCTAAGGTATCTGTATATATTTTGAATTAATGATTATTCTAGGTCTTAGCAAATTAAATATACTGAATGCAATTCAGTCTCCTTTAGATAAAACAAGGTTATCAATACTGACTCTAGGTCCTTAACATAAACCTTGTAACTTTCTCAAATAAATCTTTTATAATAGTTTATTTCCTTGCCATTTTTCTCTTTGACATAAAAAGCAGGATTTGAAAAATTACAGATGTCTACATACCCAGTAATGGGATTGCTGGGTCAAATGGTATTTCTAGTTCTAGATCCTTAAGGAATCACCACACTGTCTTCCACAATGGTTGAACTAGTCTACACTCCCACCAACAGTGTAAAAGCGTTCCTATTTCTCCACAGCCTCTCCAGCACCTGTTGTTTCCTGAATTTTTACTGATCACCATTTTAACTGGTGTGAGATGGTATCTCATTGTGGTTTTCATTTGCATTTCTCTGATGACCAGTGACGATGAGCATTTTTTCATGTGTCTTTTGGCTGCATAAATGTCTTCTTTTGAAAAGTGTCTGTTCATATCCTTCGCTCACTTTTTGATGGGGTTGTTTGATTTTTTTCTTGTAAATTTGTTTACGTTCTTTGTAGATTCTGGTTATTAGCCCTTTGTCAGATGGGTAGATTGTAAAAATTTTCTCCCATTCTGTAGGCCGCCTGTTCACTCCGATGGTAGTTTCTTTTGCTGTGCAGAAGCTCTTTAGTTTAATTAGATCCCATTTGTCTATTTTGGCTTTTGTTGCCATTGCTTTTGGTGTTTTAGTCATGAAGTCCTTGCCCATGCCTATGTCCTGAATGGTATTGCCTAGGTTTTCTTCTAGGGTTTTTATGGTTTTAGGTCTAACATTTAAGTCTTTAATCCATCTTGAATTAATTTTTGTATAAGGTTTAAGGAAGTGATCCAGTTTCAGCTTTCTACATATGGCTAGCCAGTTTTCCCAGCACCATTTATTAAATAGGGAACCCATTCCCCATTTCTTGTTTTTGTCAGGTTTGTCAAAGATCAGATGGTTGCAGATGTGTGGTGTTATTTCTGAGGCCTCTGTTCTGTTCCACTGGTCTATATCTCTGTTTTGGTACCAGTACCATGCTGTTTTCGTTACTGTAGCCTTGTAGTATAGTTTGAAGTCAGGTAGTGTGATGCCTCCAGCTTTGTTCTTTTTGCTTAGGATTGACTTGGCAATGCGGGCTCTTTTTTGGTTCCATATGAACTTTAGTTTTTTTCCAATTCTGTGAAGAAAGTCATTGGTAGCTTGATGGGGATGGCATTGAATCTATAAATTACCTTGGGCAGTATGGCCGTTTTCACGATATTGATTCTTCCTATCCATGAGCATGGAATGTTCTTCCATTTGTTTGTGTCCTCTTTTATTTCGTTGAGCAGTGGTTTGTAGTTCTCCTTGAAGAGGTCCTTCACATCCCTTGTAAGTTGAATTCCTAGGTATTTTATTCTCTTTGTAGCAATTGTGAATGGGAGTTCACTCAGGATTTGGCTCTTTGTCTGTTATTTGCGTATAAGAATGCTTGTGATTTTTGCACATTGATTTTGTATCCTGAGACTTTGCTGAAGTTGCTTATCAGCTTAAGGAGATTCTGGGCTGAGACAATAGGGTTTTCTAAATATACAATCATGTCATCTACCAACAGGGACAATTTGACTTCCTCTTTTCCTAATTGAATACCCTTTATTTCTTTCTCTTGCCTGACTGCCCTGGCCAGAACTTCCAACACTATGTTGAATAAGAGTGGTGAGAGAGGGCATCCCTGTCTTGTGCCAGTTTTCAAAGGGAATGCTTCCAGTTTTTGCCCATTCAGTATGATATTGGCTGTAGGTTTGTCATAAATAGGTCTTATTATTTTGAGATACGTTCCATCAATACCTAATTTATTGAGAGGTTTTAGCATGAAGGGCTGTTGAATTTTGTCGAAGGCCTCTTCTGCATCTATTGAGATAATCATGTGGTTTTTGTCTTTGGTTCTGTTTATATGATGGATTATGTTTATTGATTTGCATATGTTGAACCAGCCTTGCATCCCAGGGATGAAGCCAACTTGTTTGTGGTGGATAAGCTTTTTGATGTACTGTTGGATTTGCTTTGCCAGTATTTTATTGAGGATTTTCGCATTGATGTTCATCAGGGATATTGGTCTAAAATTCTCGTTTTTTGTTGTGTCTCTGCCAGGCTTTGGTATCAGGATGATGCTGGCCTCATAAAATGAGTTAGGGAGGATTCCCTCTTCTTCTATTGACTGGAATAGTTTCAGAAGGAATGGTACCAGCTTCTCTTTGTATCTCTGGTAGAATTCAGCTGTGAATTCACCTGGTCCTGGACTTTTTTTTTGGGTTGGTAGGCTATTGATTACTGCCTCAATTTCAGAGCCTGTTATTGGTCTATTCAGCAATTCAAATTCTTCCCAGTTTAGTCTTGGGAGGGTATATGTGTCCAGGAATTTATCCATTTCTTCTAGATTTTCTAGTTTATTTGCATAGAGGTGTTTATAGTATTCTCTGATGGTAGTTTGTATTTCTGTGGGATCAGTGATGATATCCCCTTTATCATTTTTTATTGCGTCTATTTGATTCTTCTCTCTTTTCTTCTTTATTAGTCTTGCTAGCAGTCTATCAATTTTGTTGATCTTTTCAAAAAACCAGCTCCTGGATTCATTGATTTTTTTGAAGGGTTTTTTGTGTCTCTATCTCCTTCATTTCTGCTCTGATCTTAGTTATTTCTTGCCTTCCGCTAGCTTTTGAATGTGTTTGCTCTTGCTTCTCTAGTTCTTTTAACTGTGATGTTAGGGTGTCAGTTTTAGGTCTTTCCCGCTTTCTCTTGTGGGCATTTAGTGCTATAAATTTCCCTCTACACACTGCTTTAAATGTGTCCCAGAGATTCTGGTATGTTGTGTCTTTGTTCTCATTGGTTTCAAAGAACATCTTTATTTCTGCCTTCGTTATTTACCCATTAGTCATTCAGAAGCAGGTTGTTCAGTTTCCAGGTAGTTGTGCGGTTTTGAGTAAGTTTCTTAATCCTGAGTTCTAGTTTGATTGCACTGTGGTCTGAGAGACAGTTTGTTGTGATTTCTGTTCTTTTACATTTGCTGAGGAGTGCTTTACTACCAACTATGTGGTCAGTTTTGGAATAAGTGTGATGTGGTGTTGAGAAGAATGTATATTCTGTTGATTTGGGGTGGAGAGTTCTGTAGATGTCTATTAGTGCAGAGCTCAGTTCAATTCCTGGATATCCTTGTTAACCTTCTGTCTCGTTGATCTGTCTAATATTGACAGTGGGGTGTTAAAGTCTCCCATTATTATTGTGTGGGAGTCTAAGTCTCTTTGTAGGTCTCTAAGGACTTGTTTTGTGAATCTGGGATTTGTTTTATGAATCTTGTTTTGCTCCTGTATTAGGTGCATATATATTTACAATAGTTAGCTCTTCTTGTTGAATTGATCCCTTTACCATTATGTAATGGCCTTCTTTGTCTCTTTTGATCTTTGTTGGTTTAAAGTCTCTTTTATCATAGACTAGGATTGCAACCCCTGCTTTTTTTTGCTTTCCATTTGCTTGGTAGATCTTCCTCCATCCCTTTATTTTGAGCCTTTGTGTGTCTCTGCACATGTGATGGGTCTCCTGAATACAGCACACTGATGGGTCTTGACTCTTTATCCAATTTGCCAGTCTGTGTCTTTTAATTGGGGTATTTAGCCCATTTATGTTTAAGGTTAATATTATTATGTGTGAATTTGATCCTGTCATTATGATATTTGCTGGTTATTCTGCCCATTAGCTGATGCAGTTTCTTCCTAGCATCTATGGTCTTTACAATTTGGCATGTTTTTGCAGTGGCTGGTACTGGTTGTTCCTTTCCATGTTTAGTGCTTCCTTCAGGAGCTCTTGTAAGGCAGGCCTGGTAGTGACAAAATCTCTCAGCATTTGCTTGTCTGTAAAGGATTTTATTTCTCCTTCACTTCTGAAGCTTAGTTTGGCTGTATATGAAATTCTGAGTTGAAAATTCTTTTCTTTAAGAATGTTGAATATTGCCCCCCACTCTCTTCTTGCTTGTACAGTTTCTGCTGAGAGATCCACTGTTAGTCGGATGGGCTTCCCTCTGTGGGTAACCCAACCTTTCTCTCTGGCTGCCCTTAACATTTTTTCCTTCATTTCACCTTGGTGAATCTGACAATTATGTGTCTTGGGGTTGCTCTTCTTGAGTATCTTTGTGGTGTTCTCTGTATTTCCTGAATTTGAATGTTGGCCTGTCTTGCTAGGTTGGGGAAGTTCTCCTGGATAATATCCTGAAGAGTGTTTTCCAACTTGGTTCCATTCTCCCTGTCACTTTCAGGTACACCAATCAAACGCAGATTTGGTCTTTTCACATAGTCCCACATTTCTTGGAGGCTTTGTTCATTTCTTTTTACTCTTTTTTTCTCTAAACTTCTCTTCTTGTTTCATATCGTTAATTTGATCTTCAATCATTGATACTCTTTCTTCCACTTGATCGAATTGGCTACTGAAGCTTGTGCATGCATCACGTAGTTCTCGTGCCATGGTTTTCAGCTCCATCAGGTCATTTAAGGTCTTCTTTACACTGTTTATTCTAGTTAGCCATTCTTTTAATCTTTTTTCAAGGTTTTTAGCTTCCTTGTGACCGGTTCAAACATCCTCCTTCAGCTTGGAGAAACTTGTTATTATCGACTTTCTGAAGCCTACTTCTGTCAACTCATCATTCTCCGTCCAGCTTTGTTCCGTTGCTGGCGAGGAGCTGCAATCCTTTGGAGAAGAAGGGGCGCTCTGGTTTTTAGAATTTCCAGGTTTTCTGCTCTGTTTTCTCCCAATCTTTGTGGTTTTATCTACCTTTGGTCTTTGATGATGGTGACCTACAGATGCAGTTTTGGTGTGGATGTCCTTTTTGTTGAGGTTGATGCTATTCCTTTCTGCTTGTTAGTTTTCCTTCTAACAGGTCCTTCAGCTGCAGGTCTGTTGGAGTTTGCTGGAGGTCCACTCCAGACCCTGTTTGCCTGGGTAATCACCAGCGGAGGCTGCAGAACAGCAAATGTTGCAGAACAACAAATATTGCTGCCTGATCCTTCCTCTGGAAGCTTCATCTCAGAGGGGCGCCCGGGTGTATGAGGTGTCAGTCAGCCCCTACTGGGAGATGTCTCCATGTTAGCCTACACAGGGGTCAGGGATCCACTTGAGGAGGCAGTCTGTCCATTCTCAGAGCTCAAACACCATGCTAGGAGAACCACTGCTCTCTTCAGAGCTGTCAGACAGGGACGTTTAAGTCTGCAGAAGTTTCTGCTGCCTTTTGTTCAGAAGCATGGCTATCTTTCATTTGCAAGGCACTATTCTTAGCACCTTATATTAAGTCATTTGATCCTTACAATAACCTGTAGAAGCAGTAATAAAATTCCCATTCAAGATGAAAAAACTGAGGCATAAAGAAGTTAATTGTCCAAAGTTATACATAAATATGTGGCAGAATCAAGATTAAAATCTAGGCAGTCTGACTTCAGAGGCAGTGCTTTTAAGCATTATGTTTTAGTTGTATCACAGTGAGAACAGAGTGAGTGGAATTAGATTCTATCACTTGAAATTCCCTGTAGTGCAGAACATGGGTAGCCTCAGGTGAAAAATAGGCAATTTAAAGACTAGAGAGTTACAATAAATGGTTGGAATGACGAAAGTTTAGTATATTTCACTCTATTACTGTTTTTCCTATAGACCCCTCATATTATCATAGGGCAAGAAAGTGACTTTACTTAATCCTCTCAGTTTCCCATCCTCGTATCTAAACTTCACTTTGCACAAAAATCATCCATATAGAGAGAAAGTAAAAATAGCACAATTGTGGAAAACTATTTTAAACAGTAACAGCTACATCTGGAAAGAACCTTAGATTTAAAAAACTATCTAACAAAATAAAAGATATTGAAGAGAAACATCTTTAAACAGTTAAGTTTTATTAACTAGAATTTCTAGTGAAGTACTATTTCCATGGTGATGACACAGCTCATTCAAAATAAAGTTAACTTGCTAGCAAAATTACTGCTCTAAAAGTAGGAAAGCATGTTATTACTGAAGTATTGATGGAATACTTAAAACACAAAATAATAAAGGAATAAAAGATGTTAAGAATTCTGAGAAGTAATTTAATAGCAAGGATATTTCCATTGTTTGCATAATAGTAAGGCAAATAAAGGTAATTTCAATCTTCCAAGTTAGGAAATTAAAACATCCTGTGCTGTACTCAATCATGTTAAAGCAACTGAACGTTTATACACAAATAAGACAACAGAATTAGTTTTAACATGATAGAGTCTAATCTGTTTCCATTGACAGTCACATTTTCCTAACTTAGAAGATAGGACAAAGGTGCCCCAAATCACTACATATAAATAGATCCCATCAGGAAATGCTAAAAACATGTAGAAGCCTTCAGCAGTCTTGTTTTCTTTTCCCAAGTTAGAGCAATCAGTAGAGCCAGAGAGAGTTAATGTTAACAAAATAATCTCTGGATAATATAGGCAATACCTATTTATGCAGACTTGCAGTTCACAGGCAAAGAAAAGGAAAGTAAAATAAAAATATCTTTTATTTTGGCAAGAATTTACTATCTCAACTCTAAATGCTATTACAGCAATCATTAAACATCTATTGTTTCAACAGATGTACTTTGGAGTCATAAACACAATGCCAGAATTTTCATATTGAGGTGACACACTAAGGTGAGTCTTCAACTTCCACTATCAAATTAACCAACAAGAGAAATAAAATACAAGGGAGAATCTATTTAAAACTAGGGAACACATATAAATACTTCTTGATAACGATGGAAGTGAACAGAACTAAGGGATGTGAGGAAGAGGAAAGGAAACTACCCATTGGCTCCACCAACATCTTCCACAGCTTTGGCTTCCATCCTCGCCTACATTAAAGAAATGTCCCATCAGTCATTTGAAGATGAGCACACCTATATTGTCTCATCCTTGCACACAAACCTAGGGAGAATTCTCATCTCCAAAAAGAAGCATTTTCTCTGGAGAAAATCTTCATCTTAGGAGTTAAATAGTTTGGGGAATAGGGTTGACACCAATGAGAGAAGAAATGATAAAGAAAATGTTTAATGCACATGAATACATTTGTGTGTATTTTCTCTAAAGCAGGCAAATATTCCTCCTGTAAATCACAATTATTTCTTTCATACTTAAGATTTTAATTGTAAAATAAAAGCTGTGAGTTTCATCACTTTTTGCCAAAGGTGGGTAAAAGACAAAATATGATCTTTAATATATTAAACAGAAGATAGAATTCTAAGACAGGAATAAGGATCATTGCCTTCATAAGATAAATCAACAGACTAATATATCAGGGTTTCAATACCTATAACAGTTTCAATTGGATTTAGGGAAAATTAAAGCATTATGTGAAAAATTTATTTTTCAAAGCTCATCCCTAAAACTAATTTCCACAAGAGAAAATGTTAAAGACTAGACACCTAAGCAAAAGGGAGTTTAAAACTTATTTCTACTCTTCCTAAATGCTTCAAAACCAGTTTCTGTTCAACATTTGATAAAGTGGTGATAATGCCTCTAACGACACAATTTACAGAAGCTCCTAGAGACTGTAATTCTATTTCTTACGGAGACATCAATTATACACAACCAATAAACAATTTCCTACCCTCAAAGAGCATGGATAACTATGGAACTCAATGAGAAGAGATCAGAAGCTTTACTCTAGAGAACGAGTTACACATCAGATGTTATTTGACATCCATCACTCTACAACAGATACATATATATTAAGATGGGCTTCTAGCTAAAATGATATAAATGTAAATTTATAATGGCACAGCTGTCCTGAGTGGCTGAAGAAACAAAACTCCCAGTCATGGTGATGATATGTGGTTTTAATCCATCTAACAATTTAAATCCAAATATTTTCTGCTTTACATAACAGTCATCTGGTTTCTTTGGTTCACACAAATCAGTCTCTCAAACGAAACTCGAGTAGAGCAAGGATTAAAACATGTTTGTTAGGAAGAAACAGGAAGACTCAGCCTTCCATTGATGCTTTCAAATTGTGTGCAAAGTCAACAGTCACTAATGTAATTTTACAATTTCACAATGCTACTTGTTATTAAAAAAATGGGTTCTTTAATCTCAGAGAATGAGAAAACTGGAAGATGCTGTCTTTTTCGCCATGGAAAATGTCTGGAAGCAAAAGTATCCCAGTAGAAATAAACAGCGCTAATAGCCCAGACTGTGGTATCCACTATTTGTTACTCAAAGGAACCAGAGGCTTTTTGAGAAACGGATGCAGCCAGGTCTGAGGCAGAAAATGAATATGATTAGCTTAGGATATTTTTCATACCAGGAAGCAAAGAAACTATCAAAGACTGATGGGGTTATGTCAAGAAGCTATCAAGGCCAACATGATAGGCCAAAAACGAGATAATTCAAGCATCAAAATGAACAACTGTAATAGTGTAAAAACATCTCAAATATAAAAATCTGTTAGTTCATAAAATGATACTTAAACAAATGACTTTATTGATTGTCTCTGCAAATTACTAGGGTACTCACTAATTCTGAAAATTGACAAAGGAAGACAAGCATTTGTCCTAAGTAGGTGATAAAAAAAAAAAGTTATTTATATAAGCATGTTGGCTAAAAAGATGGAGGAGGAATAACAGAAAATCACCATTTGCCATCAGTAATTAAAATAAAGAGGCAATAATTATCAGTGACATTTAAACCTTTAGGTAAAAGATTTATGGAGAACCCTTAATGGATGGATCATGCTGACAATACCTGAAACTACTGATCAATCTGTTCACTAACATTAGGACAAACAGACATTATGTACCTCCTGATGTAATAAAACAGAAACTAAAGAACACTGCTAGTTAAAGTGGCCTTGACAAAGAATTGAATGAGATCTAATCAATTTCCACAATCAATTAGTTTACAGAAAGTATCGGGAATACAAAAGGATACAATCAGCCAAATGCCAAAATGTAGGAAATTCTATAGAAAAATGACCTAATTCTTTCAATCAAAAAATGGCAATTAAAAAGAAGTGAGGAGGGAGGAACTGAGAGATTTAAGAGCCATATCAACTAATGCCATGTATAGATGTATTTCTGGATCCTTATTTGAACAAGCCAACTGTAAAGAAGCATCTTTGAAACAATCAATACAGAGCGGGTATATCACCAGGAAATTATCATTAATTTTGTTGCGTAAAATTATAACTTTAAAAAATAGATACATGCTGAAGTATTCATGCTTAGATCATATAATACCAGGGAAGCTGAACAATGTAAACATGAGTTCATTACAGTATTCTCTGTATTTGTGTTATTTGAAATATTCCCTAGTAAAAGTTTAAAAAATTTTATTCATACCAGAACCTAAAAATATGAAGTACAACCCACAATCGTTTTGCTCATCCATACTGGACAAGGAACAATAAATACTATGACCAAGAAAAAAAAATCTTTATTATTTTATGCCACTGAGGTTAGAGGGTTAGACTAAGTAGCACAACCTAACCTATCTTAATTCAGAGGCCAAGGTATTCTTTACAGCATCAGCAATATATTTGGGAAGCTTGTTCATTTTTATTAAAGCAGAGCTGTTTACAACCCTAGGACTCATGAGCTGGAACCCTCCCACCCACCAGATACATTGCCGGCCATATGCAAACATTTCTACCAGTCTTCATGTGATAATTTCAACTCATAAGCAATTCATTCAATCTCTAAAAGTAGTAAAGAATTTGGGTCTTATGATTTAGAATTGCACTGTCCAATACAGTCGCCAATAGTCACAGGTGGCTACTGAGTACCTTCAATGTGGTTAGTCTGAATTGAGATGTGATGTAAATGTAAAATATATAAGACTTAAATATGAAAAGAAAACATCTAATATCTTAAATTATTAATTGATTACATGATCCTATATTATGTTGAAATGCAAATATTTTGAATATATTTGATTATAAAATATATTATTAAAACTTTGTAAAATGTTCCATCATATAGACAAATGTTATACAACTAGAATATAAGGCAAAAAAAAAAAAAAAAACTATAGCAGCTACAGTTAGATCAGTAAATAGTACATACTCTTTTTCTCCCTTAGATTAAATAAAAATTCAATCCAAGTTCAGACACAGCAACAAATATGGAGATATACTGAAACACTGCTATTTTTAAAAAGTGAATGAAATCAGGGATATCTTTTGGGCTTTTACATAGCCTACAGACCTTCAGTAGACACTTCCTATCAAGTACAGTAAAATATATATTTGCTTGGATTAAATGAGTAAAAGTTTACATTACACTTTTGACTTTTAGGCAAATGCTTGAAATTAGGCTACATAGTGCTGACCAAGAGGTTTTGTGTTAATAAAGATTAGAGGATCAAAGAATGTCAACCTTGGACCCAAAGCATCAATCTTGAACTATATCTAGGCACCTGTTACATTGCAATCACACGTCTTTAAGGAAATAGGTGTTCCTGAAGTGCTTCTCTTATAACCTTAGCTAGGTGCATTAGCTATAATCTTAGCTAGGTGCGTTAGCTCACGCCTGTAATCCCAGCACTTTGGGAGGCTGAGGCAGGTGGATCACCTGAGGTCAGGAATTCTAGAGCAGTCTGGCTAACATGGCGAAACCCCATCTCTATTAAACATACAAAAATTAGCCGGGCATGGTTGCACATGCCTGTAGTCCCAGCTACTCAGGAGGCTGAGGCAGGAGAATCGCTCGAACCTGGTAGGCAGAGGTTGCAGTGAGCCGAGATCGCACTCCTGCACTCCAGCCGGGGCGACGGGGCAAGACTCCATCTCAAAAAAATAAATAAATAAATAAAATAAAAAATAAAAAAAATGCTTCTCTTACAACCTTTTAAAAAATACATATTTATTTGGAAACCATTTTTTTTTTATTCTTGACTGGAAAAAAAGGTAAACTTTAATTAAAGTCCCTATGTCTATTAGTATAACTTCCGATTTAATGTTTCAAATAATAAGAGTCAGTAGCAGAGGGTGAAAGGTACAAAAAGAGAACCTAAGATTTGAAAAAATAAAGGCCAAGTAAAAAAACAGAGATAAAATAATGTCCATCCCTTTGACTGAAGTCCACAGCTCTGCAGCTGAACAATCAAATCCACCTCTCCTGCAACCAAGATATAATAAAAAAGAATCAGGGCTTCTAATTACTAATTTTGCTTCTTATATCCCAATAAAAGGAGATGGGCACTGCAAAGTTGCTTTTTCTTTTTTTTTTTAACCAGAAGTGTGTATTTCCCGTTTAAAATGAGAAAAATCATCTTTCTGACACAGAGGGAAGCTGTGTGAATTTTCATAGTTGTTTGTAAGTTCTAATATATAAACAATTATCAATGGTGCAGATTTTCAGGCAAAGACATTTAATATAAAAAGTAAACTGCAATTTTAAGTTAACATTTACTATTTACTTACTCCATCTTGTGGAGGCAAAGGGTATAATTATTAAGCGTTTTAAAAGCTCTGAAGACCTTCAAAAGTAGCAGGTTTAGCAATCAACAAAAATTTTTGTGATTATAATTTATGACATCTCAGTTATAGTTTGTTCATATCCAGAAACTGCATTAAGATTAATAAACAGAATTAAGTCATTTTAAGTTGCATAGTTAATTATAACCAACCTCTTCAAAGATTCCCAACTTTTTATGTGAAGATTAAACAAAAAAACTCTACCATCTACTTTCACCACCTTTTATTTTTAAAAGGATATTTTCACTTCAAATAGTAGGAAATAAAAATTGTATAAAGGCCAGTATAAAAACACATTTCATAGTCCTTTTTATTCTCATCTCATTCTGAAACAGTGAAAACCTCATCAAGGACCAGTATTATCCTTGTTTGGTTTTAGGGAATCTCTGCCCTAAGTTATATTTCCCAATTTCCTCTTCTGACAATGGAGACTGAGTCTACCCTTTTTATGTTGCAATTATTTGTACATGTGTCTTATCTCCTGTACTCAAAGCACCCTGTACTTTAATTTCCTCCATCCAGGGGAATGAAGAGGGAGCCCAGGGACTCTTAAAGTTCAAGAATTGGAAAGGATCCCTAGACATCTCGGTGTTTTAGATTGCCTTAACACCAACACCACTGGCAGGTGTGATGAGGCACCCGTGATCTGTATGCTATGCTCTTATTAAGACACTTGCCCCTTGCTCCTACCCAACAGTAAGGGCCCCACCAACCAAATATGATTTGAGACTACCAATACTATCTTATTATGCCCATTAATCCCTGTACAACTCTTTAACCTCCAATCCCACTGAGACCCCATCTCCTATTCTTACCCTACTCTAGAAATCCTGTCATCACTTCTGGAACCCATACTCAGTCATCAGCAAAATCTCCTATTCTGAACATCCTCTCTAAACTTTCCCTGTTCTTTCTTGCTCTAATTGAACTCCAACTGGCTAACCCCTGGAGCCTTCTCAAATGGGAACCTGATTTTTTTTTTTCTTTAACCTCTCACAGCTCATACCACTGGATCTGAGACTGGAATTAGGTGTCTTCCTTGCTACTCCCAGACTCTTTACTTGCCCTCTTTCCTAAAACTAGCTTTGAAACTCATGTTGTCAGCCTGTAACCATGGTTCTCAATTGGGCAATTTTGCCCCTTTCTGCCACCCGGGGTATAATTGGCGTGTGTAAGACGTTTTGATTGTCACAACTGAGGGAGTTCCACTGGCACCTAGAGAGTCAAGGCCAGGAATGATGCTAAACATCCTACAATGCACAGGACAGCTCCCCCTGCCCCCCAACAAAGAATGATCAGGTCCAAAACGTCAATAATGCCAAGGTTGAGAAATCCTGGTCCACAGTGCTCACTAATGCCACCTGCAGGACGCTCTTATCTCCTGCATCATTAACTTCGCTGTTTGGATCATTCCCATTAGTATACAAACATGTTGTAATTTCCGTCATTTAAAAATATTTTCTGTCCGGGTGCAGTGGCTCATGCTTGTAATCTCAGCACTTTGGGAGGCTGAGGACCAGACTTTTTTCCTGAACTCCAGACTCATGTAACTACCTACTCAACATTTACATTTTGATATCTTAATGGGCACCTCATTTTTTTTTTTTTGAGACAGGGTCTTTACTCTGTTACCCAGGCTGGAGGACAGTGATGTGATCACAGTTCACTGTAGTAGCCACAACCTGTTGGGGATCAACTGATCCTCCCACCTAAGCCTCCTGAGTAGGTGTGCCACCACAAGTCACTAATTTTTATTTTTTGTAAAGATGGTGCTTCCTTATGTTGCCAGGCTGGTCTTGAACTCCTGGGCCCACGTGATCCTCCTGCCTTGGCCTCCCCAAGTGCTGAGATTACAGGTATGAGCCACCATGCCTGGCCGGCATCTCACATTTAACATACCCAAAACTAAACATCTGATCTTCCCTGGGGAAACTGCCTTTTCCATCCCACTAAACAACAACGTCTTGCCATTTGCAAAGGCTAAAACCTTGGAGTCATCTTTGAGTTCTCTCTCTCTCTACATCTAACTCCCACATCTAACTTATCAGCAAATCCTATACTCTACAGTCAGTATAAAAAACACAGCCCTTACCATTTCTGTCCTGCTATAAGCTGCTATCATCTCAGCTAAGATAACTGCAACAGCCTCCTAACCGATCTTGCTCTTCCTGTGCCCCCAAGGAGTCCATTTTCAGTATAACAGCTAGAGTGACAGTCTTCAAATGTATATTAGAATCCCATGTGGTTCCCCATTTCCATCAAATTAAAGTCAATGGCCTTTACAATCACAATACAATCATATACTATAATCCCTAGAGTCCTGTATTATATTGCTTCCTGGGTCCTATTTATTTAACCTTTTCTCCTGCTTCTCTTCCCCTGCCTCTCTTCATTGTAGCCATCTGGCTGCCCTGCCATTTTCCAAACATATTAGTCATCCTTCTGCTTATGTTCTTTTCCCACATAGCTATATAATTCACTACCTTACCTCCTTTAGATCTTTACTCAAATGTCATTTTATCAGTGAGAACTTCCCTGTTTTAAAATTTCACTCCTGTTCACCATTATCTACTTTACTGTCTTTCAGGGTATCTTCCACCTTCTGAAATGCTGCAAGTTTTATTTTCTTTATTGCCTGTTTCCCCTACTAGAATGTAAGCTCTAGAAAGACAGGAAAGCTATTGTTTTTGTTACTATTGAAGCCAGGGTTTAGAAAGTGTGTTAAAGAGTAGGCACTCAAATATTGGTAGAACTGAATTCCTCCTCTCCCACCTCTTACTTGACCTCCTAAAGCCTGATTCCATGTTCTACTACTTAGGGTTTAATTTAAGAGTCCCTTTGATTCTTCTTGCCCTGTCTACTGAATTAAAGTTGACTGCTATTTCTTCGACACTCATCCTAGAGTCATGGCATAGAAGAATGGCCAATTTCCATCAGTAATTCTAAATCTGATTTATTTAAATAAACACTTTAGAGCCAATATCCAGGTTTTAAAGAAATAAACCAAATCATCTATTGCATGTCTTTCATTTCCTTTTTTTTTTTTTTTTGAGACTAGGTCTTGCTCTGTCACCCAGGCTGGAGTGCAGTGGCACAATCTTGGCCCACTGCAACCTCCGCCTCCTGGGTTCAAGCAATTCTCAAGCCTCAGCCACCCAAATAGTTAGGATTACAGGCGTGTGCCACCACGCTTGGCTAATTTTTGTATTTTCAATAGAGACAGGATTTCGCCACGTTGGCCAGGCTGGTCTTTAGCTCCTGGCCTCATGTGATCCGCCTGCCTTGGCCTCCCAAAGTGCTGGGATTATAGGCATGAGCCACTACACTCAGCTTTCATTCCCTGTTTATATGACATGTTGGGCAGTCTTTACTATCATGATATGATTATATAGTGTAATCCCTAGAGTCCTGAGCTAGGAGTTAGTAAACTACAGTGTTAGTTTTAACAAAGCCCATGATTTGAGTTCAAATTCTTTAACGTCTGTCTATCAAATAGAGACTATTCTGGCCTGATTACATAGTGTCTCATAGAGAAATTATTTGTGTACCTATTTTCTTTCCATTGTCTTTGAAGACTGAAGCCGTGTTTTATCACCTGTGTATGTCACATGCTAAACACAACACTTAGCAGCTAAATTTACATATGCATAAATACAAATTTTTGCTATAAGCATAAAATCAGATATGTGGAATTACTTCAGAAAACATATGGTGTAACATAAAAAATACTATTTTTTTTTTAACGTAAAATGAGGTTTAACTGACTCCCAGAGAAAAGGGAGAAATTACTGCTTTTCTCCTAAGGGAGAACACATTTATTTACTTATTCGGTTAGAAAATTAAAAATAAAACAAAATAATCCATTTTCTTCAATTGTTTTCTTTTCCTTCTTTTCCATGGCCAACAAAACCACTACTTTACCCTATAAAGATCATAAATTTGAAACTAAACTTTAATGCTTCACATTTTCCAGCATCCACACCCAGTAATACCAAATCCCATCACTTGTTTTGTTCATAGGTCTCAGTTCCATCCTTCTCATTTTTGTTTCTGTAGCCATGATGTTAATTTTAAATTAAAGGGAACACTGCATGTTACTATATTTCAGTAATAAGTGCTGCATTTAGTCTCTTACCAGTACATCGTGCACCAATGCTTGATATGTCCAAGTATGATGTAAAGGAGTTGCCAAATCTATGTTTCTGTCAACAAGGACTAATAAGGGCCTCTGGAAGCTGTAAATATACATATAAAAAAATTACATAACTCTTGATACCAGTGTATACATCTAAAATATTCTACTACTTTCCAGTATATGCCATTTTGATATGAATAATAGTATGCTAATATTGACAATTCCTAATACTTTGTTTTTTAGTATATGTGCTGCTGAAGCAAGCACCACAATACTTTGCTTTTTGTTGAGACAGGGTCTTGCTATGTCACCCAGGCTGGAGTGCAGTGGCGCGATCATAGCTAACTGCAGCCTTGAACTCCTGGGCTCAAGCAATCCTTCTGCCTTGGTTTCTGGAGTAGCTGGGACTACAGGCATGCACCATCACACACCTGGCTAATTTTTAAACATTTTTATAGAGACGGGGGAGGCTGGCTTTTAAAAAACAAATTTAACGTGGTCACACAATTACAGTAATGCTTTGGACTAGTTACAGCTTGTGTATGATGCCAGATTATAAATTTTACTTAGGAAACTTTATTTTTTTTTTTGAGACTCTGTCACCCAGGTTGGAGTGTAGTGGCACAATCACAGGTCACTGCAGCCTTGACTTCCCAGGCTCAAGTAATCCTCCCACCTCAGTCTCCCAATTAGCTGAGACTCCAGGTGTGCACCACCACTCTTGGCTAATTTTTAAATTTTTTTTAGAGACGGGGCAACTAACCACATTGCCCAGGCTGGTCTTGAACTCCTAGGCTCAAGTGATCCTCCCACCTTGGCCTCCCAAAGTACTAGGATTACAGGTGTGAACTATCATGCCCTGCCAGGAAACTTTAAGGAAAAAAATCTATATAAATATTTCTAAAGAATAATTTTTGTGGTTAGCAAAATAATAAGCTGCTTCTACTCAGAAGTTTTTGATGTTTCTGTAAAAAAAGGCAATAAGGAATAGTTATTGTCAGCTTCAGGGAAAACAAAGAGTAGGAGCTTATAAATTTACACAAATGTTTGACAGTTTCATAAATTATAATTTTTTTCCTATAAACACAAACTCAAGCAGACTCTGGAGAAGAGCCTCAAAAAACGCTATACCACTATAATATACAAAATGAAAACATAATGCCATAATGGTACCTAATTATATTATTATCCCCTTAACAGAGAAGGCATATGATACCTCATGTACTGTTGCTCCATTATTACAATTTAGATGTGAAATAAAGTACCACCGAAAGCAAATTGAGGCACAGTCATTTGGTTATCATGTGTCTACAGAAGTTTTAGAGATCTGCTTTAGAGGCACTATCATATCAGGAGTACGCACCACTTTTCAAAAGGCATCACTATCTGTTTACATATTTCCTTTCGCAATAGAATTAACTCATTACACTCTTCTGGGTATAGGACAGTGGATTTCCTAACTGCATTGACTCGGGGATAAAAAGTCAGAGTGGCACCCTTGCGATCTACTATGATTTACCAGAGCTAGATGGAAGGTAAGGGAGGATGGCCTACCGCAGGGTTTCTTAACCCTAGAACTGCTGACATTTGGGGCTGGATAATTTCTTGTTATAGGGGGTTGTGGTGTGCATTATAGGATGTTTAGCAGCATCCTACAATGTATACAAGATTCTAGTAACACCTACCAGTTATGACAACCAAACATGTCTCCAGACATTACCAAATGGCTATGGGAGGCAAAAACTGCCCTTAGTTGAAAATCACCAGCCTATGGTTGGATTCAAATGTATTTAACAATAGTCCAGCAAGGTTGTGACCACTAAGGAAAATGATTAAGAAATAGATCCAACAAGTTGAGAAACAAGACGCCCATATTATGATAATGTGAATAAATTTAAAAAAATTATCCAAATAAAACAGTGCCTTTATACTGGTTTCTAAGGCCTATCCCAGAGAGCTATAAAAAGGGAACTATTAAGTAAGATATGACACAGTGGTTGGTTCTGTTAAAAAAAAAAAAAGATCAGGTGAGAATTTGATGTTTTTCTTCTACCTAATGAGAAACATTTTGAAGAATACTTAAGACCAGAAATGAAATCATAGAACCATTTAAAATAATGTGGAAACTGAGACAGTTAACCAAACAATTGAAACACAGTGTTAGTGTGAACTCCCAATTATACAAGCAGTTTATAAGGCTGTAGGAGACACCAAATTGACTTGAGATGAAGTCTACAGAAAGTTATTATGAAATTATTACTTCTAGTGGGCAGTTATTTCTCTGGGCATCTGTTTATTTTGGGCTTTATTTATTAATTCATCTAAACTGGGGTTAAGAATTAATTTTCCAGAATATAATCTCTTCTTTAAACAATTCTCAGCCATTTGAGTGGGTTTCTTTACTTCTTTACTCCATTACTATTAACAATCAGAAGTTAAATATACTATAATGTATAGGGTTTTTTAGTATTTCTATTCAATAATAAGCAGCCAAAAACATTGGCCTTACTTATGCTAGAAATGCTAACAATAATAAAATGTTTTTCAAGTTTAGGCTATTAGTATTTAAGTATAAAATGGAAATCAGATTAATAAAGGTAGAAACAGATATAAGTATCACAAGTTTTTCACTCTGTGAAAAATAACCAAGCGGTTTAATGATAATTGAAAGAAAATGGCTTCTGACCTTCAAAGCCTTATACACAGAAAAATTTTTCTTATAGATGATAAAATGCTTAGAAATTTTTACCAAAAGGTAAATTGAATAAAATATTCCACTTGTATTTTAAGAACAATATGAGTCAAAACCTTGATCCTGATTAGCTCATTAAAAAGAAACAAATTTCAATTACAAGGATATTCTATCAGCCAAGAAAAGTAACAAAAAAACTCTACAAATATTTTAAAGTCTTACAAGTGTATTTAATAACAGTAATACCTGAATTGGCCAGCTCCAAGTGTATCACCTGTAAAAAGACTGTTTCTTGCATCTCTTAGATTTTCTCGAAGTTTCTTGTCTAGTTTCTGAAAAATAAAATTTTAGATTAACTCTTAACAGTTTCATATAACTTTATGGAGGTTAATTCAAAATGTGTTTTTAGTTTCATAACCAAGAAACCTGGAATTTCTTTACAAATAGCAAATCTAATATCTAAATATTTTAGCTCCGTCTTACCACTTCCATATCATCATAACTTGGACTTAACAAAGATCAGTGCCTTTTCCACTGTGAGTCGGGCCTGATGTCACTAAGAAGAACCTTTCATTGACTAATTTTACTTTGGCTATGGGAAACGATTTGCAGTAATGACGCACACTCTTTTCCTAAGCATGACTGTTTTATCAAGGAAGGTGTCTATATGGAGAAAACGTTGACTTGGGTGGGTAGGAGTGAACAAAGTAGTGGTGGGTACAAGAAGCCTCAGAAGAGAAATGGAATATATGAAAGAAGGCAGTCTTCCACCAGTCAGTAATTCACTTGGGCTAATAAAGTTCCAAAATACCTCCTTCTTTTTCAGTAATTCTATAATTTCTCTAATCCCTTACTCATTTCTTAATCTTTAAAGCAAATTTATGAACACCTACTTTATACTTAATATTTTACTTCAATATAGTGGGATAGCAAAAAGCACTTCATTTTAAAAATGGTTATGATTAGTAATATTTGCTAAATGAAGTTAAATATTAAGTAATCTGGGGGATCAAATAAGTGTAAAATACTGCTTGGAGAGACAAGGTTGAATGAGGAATATACATTTTAGTTTTAAAAAAAGAAATAGGACTGGAATAGCACACCGGAGTAAATAATTTTACTTTCTCGTGTGGAAATAAATGATTACTTTTTATCTTCGGTGCAATCTCAATGTAATAAAATAAAAATATTTGCTATTGGTACCTACAACCAAGCAATCATATATTTAAATATTAACAAAACAGTTGCGTTACTTGTGGGAAAACAATTCACACAATGTTATTTATCTCCACGTGATATCCGCATGAACTTACCACTGCTACCATTTCTGCTGCTGTTCCTCTTGAACATCTGATTATAGGAACAGCACCTATTTTAACAATAAATGTTAGAAATGATCTTGGCTCTTAATTAAAATAGATACTTATAAAATACATCAGCATCAAAAATAACAGATGTGATAGATACATACAATTTCACGTTACACACGATTTTATGTATTTATTTTTCCACATTTTTTTAATTTTTAAAAAACTAAAAAATATATTTAGGGGGTACAAGTACAGCCTTCTTACATGCATATATTGCATAGTGGTGATGTCTGGGCTTTTAGTGCACCCATCACCCGAACAGTGAACACTGTACTCAAAAGGTAATTTTTCAACCCTCCCCCGACAAGCACACATAAAAGGATTTATAATTTCCCTCACAAGCTCACATAAAAGGATTTATAATTTCAAGGGTAAAAATAAGTTTCAGAAATGAACCTTCCCATTAATAAAGAAAACAACAGGGAGTCAGAAGAAAACTATTTTTATATGGAGCTGACCAATCAATGTGACTGCATTTTTTCCAAAGGATTGACTAAATCAGTATTTTGATCCCCTATGGGCAGTTTTTCTTTCCTTTTTTTTTTTTTTTTGAGACGGGGTGTCACTCTGTCACCCAGGCTAGGAGGCTGGAGTGTAGTGGTGCAGTCATGGCTAGCCTTGACCTGCTGGGCTCAAACCATCCTCCCACCTCAGCCTCCTGAGTAGCTGGGACCGCAGGCACAGGCCACCAAGCCTGGCTAATTTGGCAAAACTCTGTCTCTACAAAAATTGCAAAAAATTTGCTGGGCATGGTGGTGTGTGCCTGTGTTCCCAGCTACTCGAAAGGTTGTAGACAAAGTTTCACTATGCTGTCCAGGCTGGTCTGAGCTCAAGTGATCCTGCTACCTCAACCACCTAAAGTGCTGGGATAACAAGTGTGAGCCTCTGCACCTGGTCTAGGCAGTTTCAATACATAAGCTTACTCTACTCACAGGTTTCACATTAATTTGACTTAAAAGAAAAGAATGAAAAGAGCTTAGCTAATTCAGCAGTTTGGGGACTGCTAGTTTTTGTTTATTTTACAAATTGACAATAAAAAATTGTAGTTTTTTAAAAATACCAATTTAAATAATAGAAAACACATTATTCATATAGGTTGAAATCCTAAATAGAAAAAAAGTCCAACTGCACTGAAAGTCTCATAAGACAAACTGAGAACACTGTAATATTTATATGCTCAAACTGTCACATTTTAGATTCTATAGGAAATATGAATATACTCAGTCAATTGCAAAAGTAAAAACACAAAATAGCAAATTTTTCAAAACTGTGTTTTCTTTTGATGGCAAAAGTTATAAATGTTTGTAATAAAAAATTTAAATTAACATTAGAAATGTATAAACGTAACCCTCTTGATTCCAGCCCTCACAACCCCCATTAGAATTAGAAATGGATGCCTCCATGTTGTTTTCTACATATAATCTACTAAGTCTGTGTGTATATGTAAAAAAACAAAAATACGATAGTATATATACTGTTCTAAAACTTGTTTTTCCCCATGTAACAATTTAGTGTTGACATCCTTCTATGTCAGATTGGCAATAATTTCAATTTCTCCTTTGAAAAATAAATCACTGGCCGGGCATGGTGGCTCATGCCTGTAATCCCAGCACTTTGGGAGGCTGAGGCGGGCGGATCACCTGAGGTCAGGAGTTCGAGACCAGCCTGGCCAACATGGTGAAACCCCGTCTCTGCTAAAAATACAAAAATTAGCCAGGCGTGGTAGAGCATGCCTATAATCCCAGCTACTCAGGAGGCTGAGGCAGGAGAATCGCTTGAACCTGGGAGGCAGAGGTTGCAGTGCAACCTCCCTAGCATTTGGCAAAATTTTACAGACCGTGTGGGGTGACAAAATAGAAAGAAAATTATGTCTGTTTAACACTAAAAGTTGTATACGTGTACTTTCTTTATATATAAAACAACAACAACAACAAACCATATGAGGGCAATGAAAGCAGTTCAAAGCAGGCAGAAACTGGAGGGGTTAACTCTTGAAAGAAGAGAATCACATAAGGTAATATATATTTTTAACCAGCTTTTCTCCTGAGGGTACCTGACACATTACATGGCACACAGGAGAAAGAACTCAAGCAGAAAACAGGAAAATTACTGAGCTGAAGAATCAAAAATTGGAGCTCAGGGCTGGAAATTAAGGGAAAAAAAAAATCCCTGAAAGGAGGGAGCCATACAATTTGCATATAAATTCTCTACATGTCTAAACATTTGTCTAAATCTTAAGACTATACATGGTAGTTCTTAATTTTTTTGTGTGACATATTTTATTAATCTAGTGTGAGAATCATTTTAACAAAAAGGTTTTAAGTGTCTAAAAAATTAAAATTGCAATTAGGCTTTTAAACTGATCCATTAGTGATAGTAAAGCACAAAGTCACATATTAGATACTAAACAAAATTTTAGACAATCTACATCAGTGCTTTACATTTTGAATCAAGGAAACCAGAAGTTGTTTCTTTGAAAGAATAAACAAGATAGGTAGACCACTAGTTAGGTCAACAAAGAAAAAAAGAGACGATCCAAATAAACACAATGAGAAATGACAAGGGTAACATTATCATCGACCCCACAGAAATATAAAAAACCGTCAGAGACTATTACAAACACCCCTATGAACACAAACTAGAAAACCTAACAGAAATGAGTAAATTTCTGGAAACATAGAACCTGCCAAGGTTTAACAAGGAAGAAACTGAAGTTCTGGAATAACAAATTCCAAAACTGAATCAGTAATAAAAAATCTATGAACCAGAAAAAGCCCTGGACCAGATGGATTCACAGCCAAATTCTAACAGATATACAAAGAAGAGCTGGCACCAATACTACTAATATTATTCCAAAAAATTGAGGAGGAGGGACTCTTCCCTATCTCATTCAATGAGGCCAGTATCATTCTCATACCAAAACCTAGCAGAGACACAACAAAAAAATAAAACTTCAGTCTGATACCCCTGATGAATACAGGTGCAAAAATCTTCAACAGAATATTAACAAACTGAATCCAAAAAAATGAATCCACCACGATCAAGTATGCTTTATTCCCAGGATGCAAGGTTGATTCAACACATGCAAATCAGAAAATGTGATTCATTACATAAAAAGAACTAAAAACAAAAACCATATGATCATCTCAACAGACACAGAAAAGGCTTTTGAAAAAATTCACCATCACTTCATTTAAAAAACCCTCAGCTGGGCGTGGTGGCTCACGCCTGTAATTCCAGCACTTTGGGAGGCCGAGGCAGGTGGATCACGAGGTCAAGAGATTGAGACCATCCTGACCAACATGGTGAAACCCCATCTCTAGTAAAAATAGAAAAATTAGCTGGGCGTGGTGGCATGTGCCTGTAGTCCCAGCTACTCGGGAGGCTGAGGCAGAATTGCTTGAATCCAGGAGGTGGAGGTTGCAGTGAGCTGAGGTTGTGCCACTGCACTCCAGCCTAGTGACAGAGCAAGACTTCATCTAAAACAAAAACAAAAAAAAACACACAAAAAAACCCTCAACAAATTAGGCAATGAAGAAACATACCTCAAAATAATAAGAGTAATCTATGACAAACACACAGCCAATGTCATAATAAATGGGCAAAAGCTGTACGCATTCCCCCTGAGAACTTGAATAAGACAAGGACACCCATTCCCATTTAACATAGTACTGGAAGTCGTAGCCAAAGCAATCAGGCAAGAGAAAGAAATAAAAGGCATCCTAATAGGAAGAGAGGAAGTCATACTATCTCTTTGCAGGTTATATGATCTTATACCTCACAAATTCCATACTCTCTGCCCAAAGGCTCCCAGAACTAATAAGCAGCTTCAGTAAAGTTTCAGGATGCAAAAGTCAATGTACAAAAACCAGCAGCATTTCTATACACCAATAATATCCAAGCTGAGAGCCAAATCAAAAATGCAATCCCATTCACAATAGCCACAAAAAGAAGAAAATACCTAGGAATACAGCTAATTAGGGAGGTGAGAGAGCTCTACAACAAGAATTACGAAACGAAAAGAAATCAGAGATGACACAAACAAATGGAAAAACGTTCCATGTTCATGGATAAGAAGACTCAATATTAAAATGGCCACACTGCCAAAGCAATTTACAAATTCAGTGCTATTCCTACCAAACTACCAATGCCAGTTTTCACAGAATTAGAAAAAACTTTTCTAAAAGTCATACAGAACCAAAAAAGAGCCTGAATAGCCAAAGCAAATCTAAGCAAAAATAACAAAGCTGGGAGCATTACACAACCTGACTTCGAAGTATACTACTACACGGCTTTTACGGTAGTAACCAAAACAGCATGGTACAAAAACAGACACATGGACCAATGGAACAGGTTAGAGAACCCAGAAATAAAGCCACATACCTACAACCATCTGATCTTCGACAATGTTGATAATAACAAGCAATAGGGAAAGAACTCCCTATTCAGTAAGTGGTGCTGGGATAACTGGCTAGCTATACGCAGGAGATTAAAACTGAACCCCTTCCTTTCACCATATACAAAAATAAACTCAAAATGGATTAAAGACTTAAATGTAAGACCTCAAACTATAAAAATCCTAGAAGAAAACCTAGACAACATTCTGAACACAGGCCTTGGCAAAGATTTCATGCTGAAGTCTCCAAAAACAACCACCAGAAAAACAAAAACAGACAAATTGGACCTAATTAAACTAAAGAGCTTCTGCACAGCAAAACAAACTATCAGCAAAGTGAATGGACAACCTACAGAATGGGAAAAAATATTCGCAAACTATGCATCCAACAGAATTTATAAGGAACTTAAACAAATCGACAAGCAAAAACAACCCCATTAAAAATGGGCAAAGGACATGAACAGACACTTCTCAAGAAAAACAAAAGGACATACGTGGCCAGCAAGCATATGAAAAAATGCTCAACATCACTAATCATTAGAGAAATGCAAATCAAAACCACAATGAGATACCATCTCACACCAGTCAGAATGTCTATTATTAAAAAGTCAAAAAATAACAGATGTTGGCGAGGTTGCAGAGGAAAGGGAACACTTATACGCTGTTGGTAGGAATGTAAATTAGTTCAGCCACTGTGGAAAGCAATTTGGAGGCTTCTCAAAGAACTTAAAACAGAACTACCATCCGACTCAGCAATCCCATTACTGGGTATACAGCCAAAAGAATATAACTCATTCTACGAAAAAGACACATCTACCCATATGTTCATTGCTGTAATATTCACAATAGCAAAGACATGGAATCAACCTAGATGCCTATCAAGGGTGGACTGGATAAACAATTTGTGATACACATACATCATGGAATACTTATAGAGCCATAAAAAAAGAGTGAAATCATATGCTTTGCAGCAACATAGATATAGCTGGAGGTCATTATTCTAAGGGAATTAACAGAAACAGAAAACAAAACACCCTATGTTCTCACTTGTAAGTGGGAGCTAAACAAAAAGAAAAGACACAAAGATGAGAATAATAGATATTGGGGTCTACCTGAGCATAGAGGATGAGGGTCAAAAAACTCCCTATCAGGTACCATGCCCATGGCCTGGGTGACGAATTCATTTGTACACCAAACCCCAGTGACACGCAATTTACCCATGTAACAAACTTGCACATGTATCCCCCAAACCTAAAATAAAAGTTGAAAATAAAAAAAAATTAAAAATAAAATTTGAAGGTATAGGTAGATTAGTATTACATACATAATGTTTTCTGGAGCCTTGGGCATCTGAACTTAATAGTTACCAAACATTTATTTCTCTATTTAGAAATGTGTTTGAAATTTTTCATAATGAAATATTAAAAGAAAATTAACAGGCACATAGGTGAAGTCACCACCAAGCCATTCAAATAATATGGTAGAAAATTATAACTACCAAAGACATCTAAAATGACAACTCAATAGATCTGTTAAATGTTAAGAGAACCACATCAAGTTATTGGAAGAATTGTTTTTATATACTATTGAATATATATTTTACTCCACTCGAGAACCTCTAGAGATCCAGGTAAGTGAGAACGAATCACATTACAGTGTAATACATTAAAATTACTTGTTAAATAATTTACTTTGAAGAATAACCAGAAAGACTGGAAAACTTACCCAGAGTAACAAAAAAGCAGAAGAGGCTGTCAACTATAGTGTCCATAACAGTTTCCATTTCCGTGTCTGTGATATCTGGCCTGTTAATGGCTAAAATGACATAGGAAAAGGAGAAAAAGTTGACCCAAACTTATGCCTCATCTTTCTAAAACTCCTAAAATTATTACTAAATTCTTAATTGACATATAATAAAACTCAGCAAGTGAAATTTTTTGGTTTAAATTTTTTTTTTTCAGACAGGATCTTGCTCTGTCACCCAGGAGGGAGTGCAGAGACATGATCACGGCTTACTGCAGCCTCAACCTCCTGGGCTCAAGTGATCCTCCCATCTCAGCCTTCAGAATAGCTGGGACCACAGGCACATGCCACCACGCCCGGCTAATTAAACAATTTTTTTTGTAGAGATGGGTCTCCCTATGTTGCCCAGGCTGGTCTTGAACTCCTGGGCTCAAGCGATCCTCCTACCTTGGCCTCCCAAAGGGCTGGAATTATAGGCATGAGCCACCACACCCTGCCTGCTTTAAACTTCTTTTAAATGAATAAATATCTGTTAAAAATTATACCACCTCAAAGAGAAAAATAAATAACCACAACAAACTACCTTAATATCAGACATTAGGAGACTACTACTAAGAAAAACAACCCCACGATGTAAACTTACAAAATTTTTGACAAAAAGGAAAATAAATATCATATTCCATAGTTTTATTCATAAACACTAGATGGCCTCAAGAAACTACTGATTCTGTTACCCAACTACAGCCAGAAAAGGAAATGCAAATAAATTACAGCACAACCAACATTGCATATCATTTTCTTTATATTAAGTTATATAAATTTCTCTTCTAATCTACAAGAGTGTATATAAGTAGTTCCCAAACTTTACTGAGTATAAGAATCACCCAGGGAATATGGGGAAAAATTCTCTGGACGTTTTTAAAAATTAAAGATTCTTATCCCTTTCCTTTAGGGATTCTGTATGGATATGAATAATTCTAAAAAACCTATAATTTTGAGGCTGGGTGTGGTAGCTCACACCTGTAATCCCAGCACTCTGGGAGGCTGAGGGGGCAGATCACCTAAGGTTAGGAGTTTGAGACTACTAGCCTGGCTAACACGGTGAAACCCCGTCTCTACTAAAAATACAAAAATTAGCCAGGTGTGGTGGCACACACCTGTAATCCCAGCTACTTGGGAGGCTGAGGCAGGAGGATTGCTTGAAACTGGGAGACAGAGGTTGCAGTGAGCTGAGATCATACCACTGCACTCCAGCCTGGGCGACAGAGAGAGACTCTGTCTCGGGGTGGCGGGGGAACAACCTATAATTTTGACAAGCACCTCAGGCAATTCTAATGCAAATAGGCCTTGGGGCTACACTTTAAGAAACATTGTTGAGTAGACTGTCTTTGACAAAGACCTTGACTTACTTATCTTCCTCTCACAATATCAAGGCCCAGTGTCTGATGAAGTACATCAATAACTATATGTTGAAAGATTAGTGTCTAAACTATTATCTACAAAGTATTTTTAATGTCCCAATATCCTGAAAGTGAAAACACATATAAAATTTAATACCACTTGTGGTTACTATAAGAGGAAAGCAGAATTCAACTGGATATCTCCAAGTATCTACAGAAAGCGTGGCCCACCCAGACAACACATAATAAAATAATTCAATCAGGCAACACAGAATCTAAAAGAAGGAAATGGGCCATTACTCAGGTGTTGCAAATACCATCTATTTCAATCAGAAGAAATCAATATCATAAAGAATACAATTTGCATTATGTGAATTCAGGGGATATCAATTCAAGGAAACATACCCAATTCATTTCATTAATCAGTGGCACAAGTGATCTGTAGACACTTCAAACCTTTTAGTTAAATCACTTGTACATTTTTGTTAATTACTGGCACTAGAAAAATCTACATGGAAGCATCCAGCCCTTGAGTCCTATATCCTAGTTCCACATCTCTCAATGAAAAGTAACCCTAACTTTTATGTTTATGACCTAACAGTCATAAACTGCTAATCAATAACCTCAACTTGAGATAACAGTTGCTTTGTCTAAGATAGCAGCCTTAGTTTGACTGAGATAATAAATCTCCTTGCTCCCAATCCATGGAAAGTTTAGAATGAAAAATATTTGCAAATCAATACCACGCTATTAATATAATCATATTTAGGAATATTTGTTTAAAATTTTTAAAGCATTGTACCATTTGAGACAATTAGGTATATGATTACATAATGATAAAGAATGTTATCTCTGGAGTGAGACTGCCTGTGTTTAGTAAGCTGGCTCTACCATTTCCTCATCAAGTTACTTACAGCTATGTCTGTTTTCTCATCTTGAAAATGGAAATAATTTCTACTTCATAAAGTTATTCTGAGGAGTAAATTAGCTCATATTGTAACATGCTTAAAACACTGATTGGCATAGAGCAAGCTATTACTATTATCATTATTAAGAATCTGGGTGATTAGCCATGTGATTACACTTTGAAATTTGTAATTAATCTCAAACATGTGATCTTTCAAAAAAGCTGGCAGGTATAAAAATGTAATTAAACTTATAAGTATACGAATATTTAGCAAATTTTACACTCATTACAAATTTAATTATTTTTACAGAATTATTTAAACACTTGGGCAGATTTTGCTTGTTAGAATTATAAACTTGTCTGGTCTGGTATATGAAGTACAGTACCTAAAAAAAAACCACTTAATATTCTGAATTTATTAATAAAATTTAAAATGTTTAAGGGAATTCAACACACCAATTTTTCTGATTAAACTTGTTAAAGGGGACTGATTAGGAGAATTTAATCTGTTCAATATGAGTTAATCCATCAAGAATAAAGTAAAGATGCTTGTTTTTACTTTACCAGATTTATAAACAATATAACACAATTCATATTCAATTTAAAGGCTTAAGGAAAACTAGGTTTTAAAATATGTAACTTAAATAAGTTGCTAATTCATTTAAAATGCAACTGTAAATAGATTTCTGTGAATAATAACCGTTGTCAAAAATCTCTCACATGAACAATTGAGCAAATACTTATATCCTCTTAGGAATTTCCACAAGAACAGATGCTCTAGAGCTCAATGAAACCAAAAGATTCATTCTCTTCTCTCAGGGAGCTTATCATCTGGTTCCAGTGTTTTATAAGCACAGAGAAGCAAGCTAACTTGTTCTTGTCCAAGATCAAAGTACTAGATGATAAATTTGAAATCTGCTACTAAAATATTGTCTTACTTGCCATGAGTGAACCATTCATGCAAGTTGCTGTGGGGGTATAGAAAAGGTCAGAGAATTGGTACTTCTTTGAATTTACAAAACAGGTTTATTAAACGTTTAAATGTAATAAAATTCAGTCTGAGCCTTGTTTTCTCTGTGTGCTTTTAAAAAGCTTCTATAGCTCTACTGCTGTAAACAAGCTGGTTTTGAAGTCCATTAAACATATTCACTTTTTTTCTTACAGTATACCATTCATTTTGTTAACAAAGAATTGCAACATTTCTATTTTTACATACCACGATATGAAACAAGCTCCTTATTTTGATTACATAATACAAACATATCATCTTCCAAAGTAATAAAATTGAGATATTGGTCAAAAACCTAGAAACAAAAGAAAAGGTTTACAAATCAATCTTACAATATAGCCATATTGAAAGTAAATTTAGTTTGCTCTAACCTACCAATGGTAGAAATGAAAAAAAATCCTAATTACATTCAATAACTAAAAATTGTACTGTGTAACAGCCTAATTGAACAAGAATGAGGAGTAAAGAGTAAGTTAAGGCAATAAAAACAAGTCTTTGGGCAATAAATATGAAGGAGGAGAATAACATTTTCAGAAAACAAAATTTAAGCAGATACAAGAACTTAAATTGTGGTTGTGATGGGAATGGATATCAATTTTGAAGAAAACATACAATTTTAACAATCATTTTCATCACATTTTCCTAAAAAAGTCACAGTAATTGTTTTACACCAAGAACTTTTCTAATAAAGTGGGAAAAAGTTATGCCAGTTCTTTGGAAGTGCAGAGTAGGAGAAAAATTAAGAGAACTATTTGAAATACACTGAATTTAGTTAACCAAATTAAGGCTGAGTGAGGTGGCTTGCACCTGTAATCCCAGAGCTTTGGGAGGCTGAGGTGGGAGGACTGTTTGAGGCCAGAAGTTTGAGACCTGGGCAACATATTAAAAAAATTAGCTGGGTGGGGTGGTACGAGCCCAGGAGCTGAAGATTGCAGCAAGCAGTGATTGCACCACTGCATTCCAGCCTGGGCGAGCGAGACACTGTCTCAAAACAAAACAAGAAGGAAAACAAAAGTTGTTCCCATTATTTTATGTGAAGTTAATAAATTTTGAGCACAAAGATTAAAGGCATAAGCCTCAAAAACTAATCAGAAATATTAGTGGTCTATTTAACTCTAACAATGAAAAATCTATCAGTAGAAAAAGAATAGAAAGTATATGCATGGTTGTTTAGTCTTTTATTTGTCCTAGATAGTTGTCTGGAACTTTAATGCATATCTTGTCCAAATTCAAGAAACACAGAGCATTACAGGATTATAACCTGAAATATATTTTACAAATTGATTTATAACTGAAGCTGAACCTGACTAAAAAGTCACTATGATGTAGAATTGCAGGCCTGTCATGGGTTCTTTTTCTCTTAATATGCAACAGAGGCACTTTGGATCTCAATATGCAACACGGGCACTTTGGATCCTCTTTCCTAAGTAAAAAAAATATCTGGAAATAGTATGATGATTATAATGATTACAGATAAAACAATGTCAACATACTTTCAATACAGTTTATGACAATACAACTGTCAAATGATTTCTGAGTTGACCTAAAAATATTATACAAATCACAGACTAAAGCAAAACTCATTCTGCTTTTTATTTCTGTCTTTCAAATTCATTAAATAATAGGTTCCTTTAGTTTGGCTTATTTTGCCTAGTTCAACTTGAATATAATTTATATTATCAGAACTCTTTATAAAAGTATTGAGCCTAAACAATTCTGTTGTTCTGGTCATCTGTCAAATAGATATCTATGCCAACTACGGGTTTCAGAACAGTGTTAAATTTTACATTGACAAAATGTCATCAACCCACCAAACTCTCTTACCTTGGCTACTTGTGTTACTGCACTAGCTGCTAACGCTGCATTTGCAATATCTTCCAGTTTACTTCTTGAAATAGCAGAAATAAAATTTAAATAATATGATTCATATAGTTGATTTCGAAGATCCTATCAATACAATGAAAACTTTATTCTTATAGGATAAAGAAGACCATGAATACATATGTTTCAACTACTATAAGGCAAAGTTATATTTAAAAGACAGGATATTTAAATGACAATCAAAAAAAGTATCCCAAGAGAAAAAACCTTTGAAGTAGTACTGGTTATCTGGTTATCAGATGTAACTAAAATGTTTCTTAATAAAGTAATAAAATTATATTATCAACAAAATCTCATTAATTACAATACAGTACAAACTGCTTTCATACAGCCTATCTGCATTCTTCTTAAAATATCCAGATATGGTCCACTAATATAGTAAAATGCTTGTTATATTTGGCAGACACGATCTTCAACTGTTCTGGACATGTGATGACACAACAAATCCTTCATTGCACACAGACAAGTTATAAATCCAATTACCAATTCTAGAGGTATTTCTTTTCAACTGCTCAAAAGTAGTGCAATTTAAGTTATGCAAATTCTTAAGTCAAATTTACTTATCTTCTTATACTTTTAGCAAATAGATATCGAAATAACCATACTTCCTTAAATCTAAGATGTCATTGACTGTAACAAGAACCATCATTTTATGTAACACTAAGAATTAATGATGCCAATAAAATTTTGTGGCATGATCAATTTTAAGATGCACCTGATTTTAGCGATGTTAAAATGTGAAACATTGAGGGGTTGGAGCCTTTGTGAGGAAGGTGATCAGGGTAGTGGTTCAATCAAGGTCAAGAAATTATTTATGTATGAGGATTGAGAAATAAGTAATATGTTCACGATACTGGGAACCATGTTTTTCACTCTGAGAAAGGAGTTACAAATTTGTAAAGAGAAAAGGGAAACGCTAGAGTGAATCCTGTGTTGCTGAGCTGAAACAGTTTTGGAGGTTATCTGTTTATCTGGATAGGTGAGGGGAAGAGAGGGAGAATTGTAGAAATAAATACAGATATAAAAGTGTATGTATAAATACATAATTTCCTAACTTTTTCCATTGAGAGGACCTAAGAACAGTGACACTCTAGTCACAATGAATATACCTAATGCCTAGATCCTGATTCCTAAATACCATTCTTTACAGAAAGCAACCAGAGCTCCTCAGAAAAATGTCTGAATCCTGGGCTGAGACAGAGAAAGTAAAATCCTAGGCTATATTGGAACATCTTATTGTGCCAGAAAGTAAGGAAGTGGTCAAAGAATGATGCATACATTTCAAAAGGACATATAAGTTCAGCAAGGTTGCAGGATACAAGATAAATACATAAAAATCAATTGAATTTTTATACAATTGCAATGAAGAATCCTAAAAATGGAATTAAGAATTCCATTCATAATAAGCATTAAACACATGAAAGAATAAATTTAACAAAAGAAGCACAAAACTTATGACAAGCTAATCGTAATTTGGAAATTCAAGAAAAGCCAAAACAGTCTGAAAAAAAGTACAAAGTTGGAGGACACAATTTCTCAATTTCAAAACTTGCTATCAAGCAAGAGATATCAACACTGTGTGGTACAGGCATAAGGAAAGACATAGATATCAATGCAATAGAACTGAGAGTTCAGAAATCAAACAAGATATCTGTGGTCAGCTGATTTTTGACAAGGCTGCCAAGACCATTCACTAGGGAAAGAATAGTCTCTTTAATAAATTACGCTGGGACAACTGGATAGCCACATGCAAAAGAATAAAGTTGGACACCTACATCCCACCATATATAAAAATAATGCAAAGGGGAATCAAGACCTACAGGTAAGAGCCAAAACTATAAAATTCTTAGAAGAAAACACAAGAATCTGGAATGGTTTCCTAAATATGACACCAAAAGCATAAGCAACTCAAGAAAAAAAAAAACCGATAAACTGGGCTTCATCAAAATCAAAAATGTTTGTGCTTCAAAGGACATTATCCAGAGAATGAAAAGATAACCCATAGACTGGGAGAAAATATTTACAAATCATAAACTTGTGAGTGTCTAGTATCCAAAACAGAAAAAGAATTCTATCAACTCAACAATAAAAAGACAACCCAATTAAAAACTGGGTGAATGATCTGAATAGATATTTCTAGAAAGACATACAAATGGCCAATAAGCATGTTAAAAGATGCTTAATATCATTAATTACAGAAATGCAAATCAAAACTATAATGAGATGCCACTTCAAACCTATTAGGATGGCTACAATAAAAATATCGGATAGTAAGTGTTCAGCAAGGATCTGGAGAAATCAGAACCCTCACACACTACTGGTGGGAATATAAAATGGTGCAACCACACTTCGCAAAACAGTCTATTACTAAAAAGGTAAACATAGAGTTATCATTTGACCATGCAATTTTATTCCTATGTGTTTACGGCCACAAGAGAATTGAAAACATGTCCACAGAGAAACCTGCACATGAATATTTATGGCAACATTATTAATAGCCAAAAGGTAGAAACAATCCAAATGTCCATCAAGTGGTAAAAGGATGAATAAAATTTCGTACATCCATACAATGGAATATATTCAGCCACGAAAAGGAATAAGGTACCAATTCATGCTACAATATGGATGAACCTTGGAAACATTATGCTAAGAGAAATCAGCCATATACAAAAGACCACATATTATAGGATTTCATTCATATGTAATGGTCAGAGTAGGCAAATATACAGAAACAGAAGGTAGCTTAGGGATGGAAGAGGATGGGGGAGGGTTGAGGATGTGATAAATGGTACCAGGTTTCTTTTTGAGGTAATGACAATGTTCTAAAATTGACTGTGGTGATGGTTGCAAAACTCTGTGACTATATTAAAAACCAATGAACCATACACTTGTGCTCCTTAAATGTGTGAATTGTATGGTATGTAAATTATAATTTCAATAAAGGTGTTATTTAAATAATGAAAGAAGAAGAGATTGCAAGTGGTACCTCTTTCATGAATAGCATACTTGAGTTTACGCAGGGTAAAAGAGAAAGCTGGGCATCATAAAGCTACACAGGACACAAAATTTGCAAACGTCACTAACAATTTAAATAGCAATTTGATTCAACAGTCAATAACAAAGATGTTGTGACTTGTGGAAGACACTGTTACTTACCTATCCAATATCTACTTTTCTCCTTTTCCTTGCTAAAAGAATCTTGCTAGATTTTCTTTGGGGTGACTCATCTAAATATTGACTTTTGCAGCCACCCTTGTAACTGATTCTACCTAGTGAGAAATAAATAAAGGTCTTCTGGGAGTTTCTGGAAAGGCTTAAATTCCTGATCAAAATCAACAGTCAGGGCTGGCACAGTCCATGTCCCTCTTCTTGTTGATGTGAACATAGATTTGATGCCTACAGGCGCAGCGACAAGCAAGACAAGGAAAACCAACAAACTAAAGACGAATGATCAGCGACAGAAGGAGCCTGGGTCTTTGATTACCTTATAGTACTTCTGCACCAGTGTGGACTTCCTAATCTCACCCTTATTTTAGAAAAGGAAAACCCTATATAAGTTAGAAAGGCAATATACCTAGGCTTTCTGTTTGTTAAAGCCAGACTCAGACTTTACCAGTACAGTGGTTGCCCTTATTTGCAGGGGTTATTTTCCAAGACTCCAGTGGATGCCTGAAACCAGGTAGTACTGAACCGTATATGTTTTTTCCTATACATACATATTTATGATAAAACTTAATTTATAATTTATAAATTGGGCACGGTAAATGATTAGCAACAATAGCTAGAAATAAAATAGAGCAATTATAAAATATATTCTGTAATGAAATATATTACAGAAAATATATTCTGTAATGAAAGTTATATGAATGTGGTCTCTCAAAATACTGTAATATATTCAGTACCTGGTTAACTGTGGATAACTGAAACTGTGGAAAGTGAAACTGTGGACATGAGAGGACTACTGTATAATACTTCTTCAGCCAAAAGTTTTAAGTCTTTCAGGCTATTTGGAATTCAAAGATAGTCTCAAAAATCAGAGTGAGAAAGTAGGCATAGGAATTTCTGATTTTTCACCCTGGACATCTAGGAATTTTTCTTGAAAAAAAAATCCATTTCCAAATTCAGGAGTCCAGAAAATAAGAACCCATATTACCTGGCACATTCTGTCAATATTTTCTTCAGTTGGCATTACAAAGTATACTGCAGGAACATCTGGAATAGGATCTCGATCAGAGTGTAAAAGCCTAGAAGACATAAGGAACTAAAACTTATTTTTTTATTCACTTATTTAAAACAATATTCCTCAAAATGGGAGTTCACTAGCTCAAGGACAGTAACCAGTGCTCTAAAAGCTCTTGTTGCAATTAATCAGTGAGTTAACCTATCTTTCTCCCATGTCAGTGTTGTTATTATTTATTAGCATTAGTAAGACCCTAATTTCTTGTTAGTCTTCATTTGTTCTATTCTGCTCACACTTTTAGCACTGCTTATGGTCAGACATTCTTTTCTACCAACACTCTCCTTGAATGAGAACTAAAACATATTCAGAATCAATCTTATTCCCACTTTTCATAGAAATGTGGTGGTCAGAGGGGAAGGGTGAATGTGAGGAAAGTGTGGCTCTCTGAGGGGAAAATCAGAAAGCTAGGGGACGCAATGAAAAAAATTTTAGAAGCAATTCTTTAGAAGCTATAAAAAAATTTAACCAAACATGAAATCAAATATATTTTTTAAATGAAAGGTATATAAATGTTTCCTTAAAAATTAAAGACAATCTATTTTTGTCTATTTATTGTTTCATAAGAGAATGTAAGCATCTTATAGATTAAGTCATTTTACAGTTTTCTCCTTTTACAATTTAGGAACAATTTCCATACAAATATCCCAACATCAAACCATGCTTATATGAGGAATATTCACCTCTCTCTAGTCATCCTTCTATAATCAAGGAGAGAGAGGAAAGAGGCACATGCTGCCAGTGAGTCTGTGTTTAATAACTGTTGCCACTGATATCAAGAATGATAATGTGATGGCTGCCATAGGTTGTGGTCTTTTTCACACTGCTTGTCCAACTGTCTAATGGGCTACAACCACCATTTCATACTGTGGAAACTTGTAATTACTGTTTCCTACAAATTAGCCTAAACCAGCTTGCAGGGTATAAAGTAACTGATACAGTATTCTCCAGCAAATAGAGGAGAATGGTTGGAGGCAAAGTACACAAGAGTTCACCATGGTAGCTGTGTAATATTTCCATGCTCTGGTGGCAAGTAGCAAGTTAGGCAGAGATTACGAGACTCTCAAACTGGTAGACTATCCTATTACCCCTGAATGAAGTACTGAGTAAGGCCTCACTTCTGTTAGTTACTGTTACTGAGCCATTACAGTTCAGTAGATAAACAGCACAGAATTAGTGGTCAAGCAATGTGGCCATGGCTCTGTTATTAACTGGTTGTACAAATGTGAGACAATCACTTAAGCCTTCTAAACTTCAGTCCTTCCATTAGTAAATAAAGGAGTTAAACACTTAGTACAGAGACAATGGCACTCAATGTTTATTAATAAACCACAATTTCCAAGGATAGCATGAAGTTAAACTTTACTTCAGTCCATAAAAATTAACACATTATCAAAGCAAACCTGCTTATTTCAGTCTGACATAAAAATGAAAGGAAAACTCATCAAATACCGTATTTCATGAAACCCAAGGTGGTAACAATTTTAAAACATAATTTTTAAAATATATTTTATATACTACTGAGAAATAAAAATGCTGCCAGTTATGACATATCATCAGTGATAAGATAGATCCTAATTTCAGAAATGTAAAAAAGGACATTTGGAATTGACAAACTATAACAGTCTATTAACAAATGCTCATTATACAACTGAAGAATTTGAGCTGATTAAACCAGATTCTGTCAAGTTACTTATCGAAAATCTAAAACTATATTCCCAGTAAGAGTACATTTCAATTCAATATATGATATCATAAAAATTGGTTATAACATCATAAATAGAACAAAATGCAAATAGCTTAGAACACCATAAAATTGGACTCTTTTAGTATACAGAAGTATTAGTATCTATCCATGAACACAGTCCTTCTCCAAACGTTCTTTTTTTTTTTTTTTTTTTTTTTTTCAACAGAATCTTGCTCTGCTGCCCAGGCCAGAGTGTAGTGTCACGATCTCGGTTCACTACAACCTCTGCCTCCTGGGTTCAAGCAATTGTCCTTCCTCAGCCTCCCAAGTAGCTAGGATTACAGGTGGGTACGCCACCATGCCCAGCTAATTTTTGTACTTTTAGTAGAGACGGGGTTTCACCATGTTGGCCAGGCTGGTCTCGAACTCCTGACCTCAAGTGATCCGCCCACCCGGGCCTCCAGAAGTGCTAGGATTACTGGCATGAGCCACTGTGCCTGGCCCCTTCTCCAAATGTTCTACTAGGCAAGCCCATAAAGTACTGCATTTGTTTTATTTTTATTAAACATATCAGAAGCAATATAATCACACAAACTTAACAGTTAAGACAACACAGATAGCCCACTATGGTGATTAACAGTCATTACTTCATAGTCACTTAAATTTTTCATATTAATGATTAATTAGATATTCCTTTTTTTTAAAAAAATATAGACACTCCCTGACTTACAATGGTTCAACTTAGGATTTTTTGACTTTATGATGGTGCAAAAGCAGTGCATATTCAATAGAAATCATATTTTAAGCACCTATAAAAACATTCTGTTTTCAACTTTCAGCACTGCAGTCAATAAATTACGTGAGATATTCAACAGTTTATTTTTATTTTAATTAATTAATTTTTTTTAAATTTTGAGACAGAGTCTTGCTCTTTTGCCCAGGCTGGAGTGCAGTGGCACAGTCTCGGCTCACTGCAACCTCTGCCTCCCGGGTTCAAGTGATTCTCCTGCCTCAGCCTCAAGTAGCTGGGATTACAGGTGCCTGCCACCATGCCTGGCTAATTTTCTGTATTTTTTTTAGTGAAGATGGCGTTTCACCACGTGACCAGGCTGGTCTCGAACTCCTGACCTTGTGATTTGCCCGCCTTGGCCTCCCAAAGTACTGGGATTACAGGCGTGAGCCACCGTGCCCGGTTTTATTATAAAGGAGGCTATGTGTTAGATCTGACTCTGCCCAACTGTAGGCCAATGTAAGTATTCTGAGCATGCTGAGGGTAGGAGAGGCTAAGCTATGATGTTTGGTAGGTTAGGTGTATTAAATGCATTTTTTTGACTTACAAAATTTCAACTTATGATGGGTTTATAAGTATGTAACCCCATTGTAGGTCAAGGAGAATCTGTGTATTTAAATTAAAGGAACAAAACACTTTTAGAGCTGGAAGAGACCTTAAGATTACTAGTTCTTTTCCTTTACATAGAGGGTAAACCAAATCTAAGGAAAAGCCACAAGGCAGAAAATTTAAATTCTGAAATTATAAAGCCTCAGACTGAGGATTTTTTTAAATCCCAGAAATAAGGGGTTGAATAAAGAAGATACAGGGAAAAAATGTTCAATACTACATAAATACTGTAACCTAACACTATTTTTCTCTATAAATGTTCTTTAAATGAATACCACTATTAGAAATATGTAAAAACTCACAGATGCAGAGTGATTCCCATGTCTCTTAGCTCCTTCACAGATAGCAGAGGAGAGATTATATCTTGGCCAAATCTGTCATAAATGAGTACCTATTAAAAAAAACCATGTGTCATCATTATCAGTGAACAACCAATAGTGAACCTATATTAAGACAATGTTGAAGTAAATTTTATTTTAATACATCATATATACTGAATTGTTATCCTTGCCTCAATTTAACATTTTCCATCATTATCAGTGAACAACCAATAGTGAACCTATATTAAGACAATGTTGAAGTAAATTTTAATACATCATATATACTGAATTGTTATCCTTGCCTCAATTTAATATTTTCCATCATTATTTACCCAAATGTCCATCCAGGCAGTAATACGTTCTTAAAGCATTACTACTCAGGCTAAAATAAATAATTATATCAATTTCTTCTTATAAAATTCTTTTTTCTAGGTTTTAAAAAAATAGAGACTATAAAATCCTTAAGCTATCATAAACTTTGAACTTAAAGCCAATTCACGTTCATACCCTTATTTTTTTTCCAGTTCACATATATCTTTTCTAAAAACAGAGATGTAAAAATTAGCCATTTTCAAAACTAATATATAACAAGTTCCAGGACCACAATAAAAAATTTAGTATTTTAAGCATCTCAGGTTAAAAAGATACTCATTAAAAAAAATTAAGTCCCTGGCTGTGGCACAGTGGCTCACGCCTGTAATCTCAGCACTTTTGGAGGCCGAGGTGGGCGGATCACTAGGTCAAGAGATAGAGACCATCCTGGCCAACATGGTGAAACCCTTTCTCTACTAAAAATACAAAAATTAGCTGGGTGTGGTGGCACGTGCCTGTAATCCCAGCTACTCTGAAGGCTGAGGAAGGAGAATCACTTGAACTTGGGAGGCGGAGGCTGCAGTGAGCTGAGATTGCGCCACTACATTCCAGCCTGGCGACAAAGCGAGATTCCATCTCAAAAAAAAAAAAAAAAAAATTAAGTCCCTAAAGAGTATTTGATAGACTTAGTCTATCAAATACACTTCCTCACATTCTCAAAGTATTAAAACAGACAGCTTTGAGGTGTGGTAAGAACTCCAAATGGGCTTTTTAACTCAAAATTAGTTTCACGGTTAAGACAAATAAAAGAGATCCTCAACTGGTAAGCATTTTTCACAACTACCTCAATAATTATTTATGGAGTAAGAAATTGTTAATGAGAGAATGAAACATGTTGTTATGAAAACACATTTTCTTAAATGCCAGGATTTCCTTTAAAGAGGCTAAAAATCTTTCTGCTCTAGTTATAAAAGGTTCACGTTGCATCTTTCAAAAATCTTCCCTCTTTTAATCTCAATACATGTGTATTATTAATTTTAATGATATAAAAAGTGATGGGTAGGAAAAGTATCTGACAAAAATTTGTACCCAAGAAATTCTCAAACTATTTCAACCAAAAGCTCAATATTGGTCTTAGAAACAAGCAAGTATAGTTTATGCAAGAGGCAATAGGAAGATGCCCACAAAGGAACAAGAAGGAGAAAATTAGGGAATACTCTGGAGCTTAAACTATGAAATCAATACAGACAACTTTAACTACTTTTAGAGTTAACCCAAAGGACTTATAAAGACTCAAGAGAGTTTTCAAAACACCCTAAATTCTAAACATGTTGATTTGTTCTTAATTTTTAGCAAGAGAGAAATATAAAGAGACTGTTAACCAGTAAGTTTAAACCCAATCAACTGTATTATAACATCTGAAGAAAGAGAGTCTGCATGAAGTTTAAAATGAAGAAGCCTAAAGAATTGGAATTTTTAAAGGCTCTCCAGTATTTCTCAAAGGAAAAGATTGTAGATTGCTTTCTGGTTCAATTAAGTTTTATATCTCATAAATTATTAAAGTGGTATTACAGTTTACAGATCATTTTCTCATGAGTTTGTTAAAATAATCCAGGCCCTCTGAATGTGACTAACTCCGAGCAAGCTTATAAAATCCAAAGTCTGGACTTGAAAAGCTAAGGAACAAAATATCAACCAGGAAAAAGACCTATCAGTGACATCCTACCAAAGAGATCAACTGGACTCCCTAGATGAAAATTACTATTTTATCACTTGTCTCACTCCATAGAATGTCTGTCAAAACAATTCATATTAAGAGATCATGTTAAATAAGGATAAAACATTCATGATAACTAATATGTGTTACTTCTTCCATATTACAATAAATTCCCTCCAATTACCACCAATAAGGGCTGAGAAAAACAGAAATCAGTTCCCATTAAGATAAACTCTTACCTTCCATACTGGTTCTCCTGTGCTGTTTTTAATATGAGGCACATTGAAATTCAACATACGCTTCAAAGCCACTGAAAATAAAAAGTTTTATCAAATATTGTCATTGTTTTTTAGGATTTTATTTTTCCTCCATCATCATTCACTACCCCAAAGCAAAATAAACTAATCAACTCTAGTAAAACTGATTAACCAAATGACTATATGTGTAGAACTAGGGGTCAGATCTTGTAAGACTATTCCATCGACAGCTAATTGACATGTATTTGGGAGATTTCCCAAAACACAATAAGCATCTGTCCACAGATGAAATCGCGGGAAATGTTCAGGAAGAACTTGCAATGGCCTCAATATACTGATGCTGTTGCCTGTGTACTGTCTGGCTGAAAGCATAGATTAAGGTAAGTCTTTTTTTTTTTTTTTTTTAAGTCTGAGTGGTCTAGTGAGAAGGATCAGTCTGTCTGTCTGTTTTTTTTTTTAAGTGTGAGTGGCCTAGTGAGAAAGATCAGTCTTTCTTTTTTTTTTTTTTTTTTTTTTCTGAGACAGAGTTTCGCTCTTGTTGCCCAGGCTGGAGTGCAATGGCGTGATCTCGGCTCACCACAACCTCTGCCTCCCAGGTTCAAGCAGTTCTGCTTCAGCCTCCCGAGTAGCTGGGATTACAGGCATGCGCTGCCATGCCCGGCTAATTTTGTATTTCTAGTAGAGATGAGGTTTCTCCGTGTTGGTCAGGCTGGTCTAGAACTCCCGACCTCAGGTGATCCACCCGCCTTGGCCTCCCAAAGTGCTGGGATTACAGGCGTGAGCCACCACGCCCGGCCTGGATCAGTCTTTCTAAAAACAAAATTATCCATGGCATATTCAATTGGTTCATATACAAAACCTTCATACAGATCTGTCTATAGTTATGTAAGAGTATATTTTACAAACAATTTATCCTGTCAGATTCACCGAAAAGTTGCTTAAAATTCTATGTCCCTTGGGAAAACAGACTTTCCCATATAGTAGATAACTGATAATTCCAGCTAAGCAAATATACAACATCAAAAATCACAGTTACGGGTCTGTTACAGTATTTTGTGTTATTTATCACTCATCTGTAACAGTGTTACAGAAAATGAAAATCCCTTAATATACTTCTTCGTGAAACTGAGATGGCCAAATATTCAAGAGAGTATACTAGTTGTAATTTCTTGATTTAATTTTTATAAAATTGACAGCCTTAAAATCCACTTGGTTGATTGTTAAAAACATTTGCATCAGGCTTTAAGTAATACAGAATAACCTATACTCCAAAGTCCTACGAGAGAACTATGTAATACTAAAATCACCTGAATATCAACTTACAGCATATTCATTCACTCACAAGAAAAACTTCTATTAAATGCTTGCTTGCTGAGGTAGGTATAATGCTGTTAAAACTGCTATTACTGAACAGATTGTACTTCAGTGATACATTTGCATACTTATGTGTGTGTACATACTGTTGTGCCGAACCCTTATTGCCTCCAGTGGGGAAGATACCCATGTTTGAGAGGCCTAAGAAGAGACCCGGAGCCAGGAAATGAGACACAGGGTTTTAATGGGGGCAACACACATAGGAGAGTCCAGTGACAGTGGGCTGGACAGGAGAACTGTATACTCAGTGGCAATGCGCTGGGCAGGAGAACCATAACTGCATGCAAAAAGTGGTTTATATAGCAAAAATGTGGTTTATACAGCATTTTCACTTAACATTTCCCTAACAACCTCCACCTGGCAACCTTCATTCAACCCAAAACTCGGGGCCTTGATCCACTGCATGGCCTATGTTTCACTGGATGGGCTGGGGGCTCAGATGTTCCTCACAGACAAGGAATGAATCTCCAGGTGGGCCATTTTGATTCCCTAGCTTGAAACACATATCCAGGTGTGTCTGCAATACAGGGTCATTCTCAGGGCACGCTTAAGTTATTGCTATCAGGTGTATTTACCATACACCTACAGACATAATTTTTGGTAAAATGTTATTACCTAATGTCCAGCCAAAAATACACATTACCAATATTACCTACTTCAGAGGCCCACAGGTTTTACATTAAATAAAAATGTATTTTATTTAATGTATTTATAATATTAAATATATTTAATATAAACAAAAAAACAGTTTAACACTTAAAACTGAAATAACACAGGAAGCACGGAGGGGGTTTCAGGATTAACTCTCCCACTGTGCATTTGCAGAGCTCTTCCTCCACCTCCAGGCAATAAAGACACCACCACCCTGGCACTCACGCCCAAGAGGGAGGAAACCCTGTTTCTGGGAACAGCTGTTCACACTCTTGAAGCCTGACAACTTGGAAGAACGAAAGCCTGAGCTGCCATGTGAGCCTCAGGTGTTTAGTATGCTGCACAGTTAGGCCTTAGCTAACTGAAAGAGGCCAGCAGCAGCAAATAAGATAATCCTACATTCGCCTTCTCAGCCCAGTCTGAGATTTTCTCCAACTTTGAGCCTTGGCTAACTTATTAAAAGGTATTTTGATATACCTTTTACCTATATCAATATACCTATTGATATACCTATATACCTATATACCTATATACCTATACCTATATAGGTATACCTATATGCCTATATACCTATACCTATATAGGTATACCTATATGCCTATATACCTATACCTATATAGGTATACCTATACCTATAACAAAAAGGATTTGTTAATGGAGTACACGGCCTGTGTTCAGAGTTTACAAGAACGTAATTTTACTTTTATCAGAGTTTACCCAAGGCTTAAACCATGACTTTATCTGAAATGACAAACCATTTTTCTTATTGGCTCTAAATATACTACAGGTTGAGCATCCCAAGTCTTAATATCTGAAACCTGAAATGCTCCAAAATCAAAATTTTTTAAGCTGGTGCTCGGATTTTGAAATTTGGGATGCTCAACCAGTAATAATGCAAATATTCCAAAATCAAAAACACTCCTGGTCGCAAGCATTTTGGATAAGGGATACTCAACCTGTATCCATATTCCTAGACTTGGTTAATGTCATTACTTACATACACACTATTCATTCATTCAACACGTTTGATGAGTGCTCACCACAGGCACTGTAGTTATTGGGGATCTAGCAACTGAACAAAACAGTGAATAAAATCGCCTGTCCTCAAGTAGCTTTCATTCTAATTGGGGGATAAAAAAAATAAAATAAAAAAAAAGTAAAACATATGGTATGTAGATCATGGTAAGTGCTTTGAAGAAAGGTAAGATTGGGAAAGGGGAAGATGGAGTTGAGGTGTAATTTTAAACAGAATAATTGGGGAAAGCCTCCTGAGAAGGTAACATTTGAGTAAAGACCTAAAGGAAGTGAGGGAGTGAGCCATGGAGATTATCTCTGAAACAGTACTCCACAAAGAAGAAACAAATACAAAGGCTCGAAGGTGGGAGCATTCCTGGTGGGTTCAAGGAGAGGGAAGAGAAATAGGGAGTGAGGTCCAAAAGCTACATGGAAACCAGATCGTATAAAGCCTTGTAGAACACTGTAAGATCACTTTGGCTTTTATCATGGTTGAAATGGGAAGATGCTGGAAGATTTTGAGCAAACATATGGCATGATCAGTTTGGGTACTGTGTGAAAAATAATGAAGGAGAACAGGATTGTAAAAGCAAAGAGACCAAATAGGTTACTGCAGAAATTCATGGTGGACAGGACCTCGGAATAGCAATGACAACAGTCAGATCCTGGATGTATTTTCAGAGTAGAACTGACAAGATTTACTGAAAGATCTTACATGAGACATGAAAGAGACAAGTCAAGAAAACTTCAAGGTTTTTGACCTGAACAACTAAAAGGACGGAACTGCCATTAACTGATATGGAGTAGACTGAGTTCAGATGGGACGGCCAGACTAGGGATATAAACCTGGGAATCATCAACATACAGATAATACTGAAAGCTAAGGCGCTAGATGAGAACACTAATGGGACCCTGCAATGTTGAGAAGCTGGGAAGATGTGCAAGAACCTGTAACGAAGACGCATTCAATGAAGAACAACAGTAACACGGAGCAGGAGGCAACTGATTCTACCTATTGAACTGAAGGTATGGATAGAGGGGACAGTGAACCAGGAAGAAAGGAGATGGCTTGTGGGATGACCTTCAAAAGATCAATAAAGATTTTTCAGGAGACCAATAAAGATTTTTCAGGCAGGCAAAGCAAGAAACAGGCACGTTAGTTTACCTCTATCTTACTTTCCTCACCTGTAAAATGGAGATAATACATAATCACCTAATGCAATGCCTAACAATAGTAAATGCTCAATAAATGCCAACTATTATCTCATCCACCCAAATATTCTAGTATCTAGAATATTTAAGGACTGTGAGTTATCTCCCAAAACATTCTCCATAGGCATGAGGGAAATAGCTAATTCTGCATTATAATATATATACAAGGATTTACCTTCCTCTGAAAATAAGGCAGAATTCAATGACAGTAAAAATTTGATAAAAAATAGATCTAGCACTACCTAGTAATTCTGTAAAATCTTACTATGTTTATTTCTGCAGAAATACAAACGATTAGATTTTAATGATCTACAAAATTTCTGCATACAAGTTTACGGCCACGCAAATTTATTTTTCAAAAAGCTCTCTTGTATTGGTACAGTTTTACTGACACGTTATTTTAATATGTAGTATAGTCATCAGAAACACAGTATTAAAACAAATGGAGCTTCCATTTGTTTAAACATATACAACGAATGGCAGGTATGCCCCAAATCTTATTTGAACTTCCCTATATTTAGTTATGCCTGACTTCACCTGATAGGTTATACTAAATTATTTACTGGGAAAAGCAGAACGCAACTCAGTATCTTTTGTGTGTCATTACTAAATTGAAGTCTATCACTTTTTCTTTAAATGCCAAAGGAAGGAATCAAGTACAGCCCAAATCCCTTCTGTAGGTCATATGAATTATAAATTTATTTTCCTATTCATATTTATATCCAACAGAGCATAATTTCAGGAAACAGAATTCCAAGTATGCACATTCTTGATGCCTTATTTCTATTAGCTCCTCAGAATAAATTGCTTGAAAACTTTTAAGACAACTAGTTAACAAGTATAAACCTTTAGTTTGTAGCTAACAGGTATAAACCAAGTTGTCATGAGAAGTTTTCAAGTAAGGCAAAACTAATTTCTAAGACGGAAAAAAACCCAAAACTCAAGAGAAGAATATGTGCCTTTTTACATTTCTCTGCATAAATAGAAGCTATATAAACATGCTCTATTGAAGATAAAATATTATTTTAAAACAATGTGTCAAACAATTAAAATGAGAAAGCTATTAATTCATTTGTTTTGCCATTCTTCAATGCCTTCCAGCAAGCTGAAGGAGAAAATGTTTATCACCAGGCATTTTTCTGCAGGTACCCCCAAAAGACTGGTCCGAAGTAGAGAAGTGGCGCAAAGCAAGCCGCTGTGAAAATACCTAAATTCTCTGAGTGTCAGAAAATGGGAGTTCTCTTAAAAATCAAAACCAGGAGAACTGAACCACGCACAGAAACTCGGAGACCTCATAGGTGGCAACATAGATAAGAAGCTATCAGCTGCTAGATCTTGTTGTGATGGCCTTCTGATGCCCACTAGGAAGGAGACAAGAGCAGGGCCGTAGCAATCCGCCCACCGCTGAAGCTCCTTCTCCTGCACCACAGGAGGAACCGAGTCCTCAAGCTAATGGCAACTTCTCCCCAAAAACTCAAAGGGGAGGGGCTCTTGATGTTCTAGGGACTGGATTAAACTCCTGGAGATCGGTCTCTGAGCTGCACGCACCAGAGGAGAAGGATGTCGTCGGGGCAGTCACGAAGCTTCAAGGAGAAGAGAATAAGTCAGTACCTGTCTGCCTTTCCCGAATACTGGCTGCTGCTGCTGCTGTCGCTGCCGCCGCCGCCGCCATCTTGGCTCCCACGAGCCACTGCCCGGCTGGGGAGCGGAGCGGGGGGATGACGTGGCTGCCCTTACCGCCCCGGAAGCAAAGCCCGGAAGGGCGGGGCCAAAGGGTGTGCCTGAGTTCCGGACCCCACCTCCTCCAGGAAGACCTCCACTCTCGGTAGAACTGGGAGACCCGGTGCAGGTTAATTCAGTGGCCCGTAATGTTAGGCGAATACTAAGAGTTTTTATCCTACCGAATCAAGCCACACTCTCTCAAATGGTAGCAACATTAAATTGAGCTGTTAGGGTAGGAGCGTGTAGTGCTAAGAACCTAATTACTGAACTGTTGGTTTGGTGACTTACAGAGCACTTAAAGGGTGATAATGCTCTAGGAGTATAAGGACCACAGGACTGAAGTAAATGAAGCTCCTGAAACACAGGCAACATTTTAACGTTAGCTCTCGTTTCTCAGTGCAGCAGGAGTCTTCCCTTTGCTCCTTTCTCCAGAGAAACGGAAAGCATTGGAGCATTACTCTGATCTGGCATATTTCTCAGTCGCATCTCTTTAAAAAAAAAGGTGTAGCTTTATGGTGGCGTTCTGCCGGCATGGACACGGGATCCAGGGAGGTACAAAATGAGAAATTAGCATTTCTCCTCTTTCCTTGTAGTAATTGCAAAATCACCTTGCCGTGGGAAGGAAGTCAAGCAGTAGTGGGGTGTGTTGCCTAGGCTGGAGCGCGCAATCAGGGATCACTGCAGCCTCAAATTCTGACGGTCAAACGATCCTCCTGCTTCAGTCTCCCAAGTAGCTAGGGACTACAGGGGCACACCATCAGGCCAGGCTGATGTGCTGGTTTTTGTTGTTGTTTTGTTTTTGAGATAGTATCTCACTGTCTGTCGCTCAGGCTGGAGTGCAGTGGCAGAATCTCGGCTCACTGTAGTCTCGACCTCCCGGACTCAAGCGATCCTCCCAAACTATCCTTCCACCTCAGACTGCCCACTAGTTGGGACTATAGGCAGGGGTCACCACGCCCGGCTAAATTTTTTTTTTTTTTTTTTGTAGAGACGGGGATTCACCATGTTGGCCAGGCTGGTCTTGTGCTGGCGGTTTAATGTACACTTGAAGCCACGTGACCGCAAAATATATGGGATAGATGATTTCTAACTTAATCCATAGATTTTACTGTATGACCAAAATGGATACACAATGACACCTCATTTCCCGAGTTCATTGATGACGCTTCATTATGAAGTTGCACCAAATTCTGAAATGAAATCACTCTGTACCTCAAAAGCTTAACTTTCACAATTATATAAATGAAATGGTTAGCCTAACGATTATATATTGTTTTATAGTGTGAAACACTGGCTTTTTTCATTAATAAAAATTTATTTTTGTGACATTTAAAACAGGTTATCTTATTACATAATCTCTGCCGGGTGCGGTGGCTCACGCCTGTAATCCCAGCACTTTGGGAGGTAGAGGTGGGCAGATCACCTGACGTCAGTAGTTCGAGACCAGCCTGGCCAACATGGTGAAACCCGGTCTCTACTAAAAATACAAAATTAGCCGGGTGTGGTGGTGGGCGCCTTTAATCCCAGCTACTGGGGAGGCTGAGGCAGGAAGAACTGCTTGAACCTGGGAGGCGGAGGATGCAGTGAGCAGAGATCGCGCCACTGCACTCCAGCCTGGGTGACTGAGTGAGATTCTGTCTCAAAAAAGAAAAAAAAATTATGTAATCTCATTTTTATAGCTAATTGGCACATTCATTAAGAAATTAACTGGAATACATGTGTGTCTTCAGTACTATTACTAATATTTTGAAGGAATCTTCAATGATCTAGGTGTGTTCCAACTAAACAAATTATTTCTGCCCTATGGGAAAGTTCTACTGCATTCTACAGTCTCTATGAAATATAAAATGTCTGAGAGCCCAATTTTGCTCATTTGGGTACTTCCACTTTCAAATGCAAATCCATCATTGAGCCACTTCAGTTCCATCACAGATTCTCTCCCAAGACTATGAGTCATGTTAAAACCACGAAGACAATTTTAAAATTGATGTACACTGCATATATATGAAATGATAAAAACTCCTGACCAAGTGCACAGAATGTGGGCAATAAATTTATAGAAAAATACACCTCACAGAAGAACAGCAACCATAGACAAATAGCCCTTGTAAGGCTGAGACTGAATAAGGTATTTGTTTTATTAGAATCAGAAAGACTGAAAATAATCTATGGCTACAGATTGTTCATTAACCTAATTTACTATAGCCATTTATCTGAGTCCAGATTTTTGGCTTAAATAATTTATTCTGGTAAGCTATTTTACATTAGAGGATACATAGTTTTAACACAGATTCCCTCATTTCTATAGGTTCCTGGGTGTCAGACACTAACTGCTTGCTTATAGGATCTCTCAAATGTGGAGAGTAAAGGAATCTTGTATCTTTCAGTTTCGTCAGAATCTTAATCTTATTAAATCCCAAAAAATTACTTAGTTTAAATAGGCAGTTTACCTTTAGTGGCATAAACACATTTATTTATTTATAAAACATTGTTATAAATGTCACGCTTTTTGGTTAATCTGGCAGTCTTTAAAAGGGGGGGAAATAGGCTGACATATAAACGATCACCTAGCATAATACCTGGCATAGTGTAGGTACTGGGATATGTTTATGAATTAGAAGAGATAATGGTCAAAATCAGAACTTGAAAACTGAGTCTCTTCAAGACAATCCAAATTTTCCTAAACCACAGATAATATACATTCAAGTAATTCATCATTAAATGGGTTATGTTTTGTATTGCATTACTTGAAGCATGAAACTTTGTATTGCATTACTTGAACCATAAAAACTAGTTTAATAGCTTATTTTAAAGTAACAATGCAGTACATGATAATCACTATATAAAAGAATTACATGTTTATAATGTAATGATTTTGTTCTGATCATTTTCTTATAATGACTGAATGCTAAAGGCACAGTCACTGAAAAAACTTACCTAATATACTCCCCTTGACTTAGTATTTAGCACTGAATACAAAAGTTCCAATAGCTTCCATATAATTAGGGGAAAAATTTACAAATGCATAAAATAGAAACCAAGGTGAATTCTCATGCTGGTAATCAATCAAAGGCTTTTTACTTAACCCAAACAAAAAAAGTCACTTCCTCAAATTACAGAAACTAAAAATTACAAAGTATAAAATTGTAAGTTTCTGGTGAGATATTTTAAAGAATATCTTGAATAGTAGAGAATTGTATAAAAGGTGTTAAAGTTTCCATATTGGAAAGTGTTTAAAAACAATGAATATCAAACTAACCAAAACCATTAACAGTAGATGCATTATAGATCAATTTATAGTTTTCCTCAACATTAAGAGCAAGAGAAAACAGCCTTAAAATATACAACATTTAGGCAATTGCAATATTTAAGAAATATATGTACACATTTATAAAGATTTATAGCATAATTCTTTTTTAAAATCTAATGTAAGAATTATGCACTGGTTATAAAATTAATAAGAAAAGAACAATTATAATACCAACCATTTGACAAAATGACACTGCAGAAAATAAATAACCTACAGGTTTCTCTGATATTCCTTGACCATACAGATTAATCTAAAAATGGTAATAATGGAACATCCTTCAAACTAGAAAACATTTTGCAAAATAAATATTTATGCTTCACTTTAAAACATGAATATCCTAAATTATTTACACCATCTTATCACTAAGGCCCTGTCTATATATAAAATAAGTCAAATGAGGAATTGAAATACTGTTTTTAATTGTAGCTAACCCAAGTACACTGCCTCTCCACCTGCCACCCCCACCCCAACAAAGTATGTGTGTGTGACTTAATCAGCTTTAATTTCTACCCTAGGGGAAATTAATTGCAACTAAAAACCAGAAAATAGCTTTAACTAGGTTTTATTGGTTTGTATTGGTTTTTAGCTGTAATAAAAATAAGGTGGATAAAGAAACAAATATCTTTTTATCAACATATTTGGAATAAAAACTGTATGGTGACTTTGGGGTTTATATTAGCTATTCAAACTCTTTGATAATTGATCTTTCAATTACTATTGGTGAGACAAAAAAATTCAACCAAAGCCAAAGAAATGTCTTGTTTAATGTTCTTAAATATTTCAAGTTAAAGTAAAACAAATTTGCTAGGTATGTTAGTGTACAGATTGAAAAAGACATGAGGGAACAAAGAAAAGTACACTAGAATTATGTTTTAGTTTTCCTTTGGTATTAAGAGATATATTATCTCTTTCAAATCTATTCTGTTACTTAAAAAATATCAATAATGTAATGATTTTTCTTAAGAAGGGTGAGAATACAACAGCTGACACCTGCTTTGTGTATTAAGAAAAATATGGTTAAAACATTTTACTTCCCATAATGATTTACTTTCATGGAAAACTGAACCATTATATCATTTAAATATGTTAATAGATTAAGGACATCAGACTTTGTTTTCCAATTTTTTCTTCTGTGGGAGTATAAATATGGGGACATGACTATGGGACTATATATTTTCACATTGTTAGCACTTTGTTAGTACAGTTACTTTTAGGTATTGTCTTTTAGTAGCATTATTAAAGTTAAAAAATAAAGGAAACAGAAGTAAAGAGTTTATAGAAGGATACACAGAAATACGGTACTTATCTCTGAGTGGTGACATTAGAATGGGTTTTTCATTCTATCCTTTTTACTTTATTTATACATTGCTTATATAACAGATATCATTCAAGAGCAATGAAGATAACTGTATAATGCTATGGCGTCAACTTACCTTAGCATACAACCAACTTGATAATAAATAATGGTCAAATGGCCAAACCTACCAATCCACAGAGATCATTCAAATATCTAAAATGATTATGGATCAGACATACAGAATACCAAACATAGGATACAAACAACAACAACAACAACAACAATTTCCCATGATTAAAGCCAAGGCTTTAAAGAAGACACACTTTCTTAGGTATTTTCAACTAAATGTTATCCACCTCAAAAGTGTTTAAGCTCATGGAATGTCCATAGATTCCAGAAAATTTGTGCAATTCTGTTTTTTTTTTTGAGATGGAGTCTTTGCTACATTGCCAGGCTGGCTGAGTATCTCGATTCTCCCACCTCAGCCTCCCTTATAACTGAGATTACAAGCACATGTGCCCAGCTTAATTCTGCTTTTTATATAATACTTCCCACTAGGCATAATCTAATTGCAGTGTGGGTCATCTTAATATAAATCAGTAATCTAAAAACATTTTAAACAACTAATTTGGTGACATCCTAGAAAAGTATGCATAGTAACACAAATCCCAGAATATATGACTCTGATTTATATAACAAAATTTAACCAATTAGCTTTTCTATTTAATGCTTTAAAATAAAATGAGGAATAATTTGAAAATTGAATAAACCTAGAGAAATTGTGGCATTCTATATGTAATCCTAATTTACAAAAAATGTGAGTAAAACAGTTTTTACTTTTATTAACCATGCTACCATACCTAAATAAAATCCATACAACCATTTTGAGAGTATTTATATTGAGGTTTATGAAGTATCTATATCAAGAAAATGAGAAATTATCACCAATTTTGACTAGTATGCTTTAACAAAAAAAACCTTTTTTTAGCCTAAGTGGCTATAATATTCCTTTATATTCATATCATAAATTTTATTAGGTCAAGAAGCTAACTAGTTTGTTCAAAGTGATGATGAAAAGGTTAGTGAAATAAAAGAGAGTTATCAATAGCAGCTTTTAAAGAAGCTTCTCTTTGTTCAAGGAAACATTTTAATGTCCAATGTAATGAGAACTTTCTTCCTTTTCTAGTCTTAGAGTGTTTCTTATGGTGAAGTCCATATTTTCTTGAAACTCTTTATATGTATTGGTGATGGGAATTGCTAAACAGTTATTACACTTGTTTCCAACAGGAAAATCCACATGCAGACACTCAATTGAAGGAGTGGGTTTAAATCCAGCTGGAGGAATGGAACTGCAACCAGTTGCAAAAATAAGAATGTCTTCCATTGTTGTTGTAGATTTACCATCTGAAAAAATTTACCAATAAAAGAGTAAAAGAAACAAAAGTAAATCCATGTTATATATTGCTATCATCATAGATTCTTCTCCAAATAGACTTGGAATACTGAAAGGCACAGACTCCCACATTTGTTTTGGGCAAACTAAATCACAAAGTCAGATGTAGTAACAGGCAAACAGTACATAAATGAATCTCAAAGTAGAAGGACTAATACAATCATTTAGTACAACTACTTATTGTATATAACAAATACAGACAGAAAGACTAAACGGTAAAAAACCAAAAATCTAGCTAAACAAAATTTCAACTATAAGTTAAATTCTTCTCCACTCTATCAGGCAGAATGATTTTACACTGCTAATGCTCAATGATAAATATCATTGTTATAGCCCTGACCAGTGGGTGAAGAATAATTTAGTTTAACTTCAAATTGAAAATGATGAAATAGATTATTAGGATTAAAACTGTTCTATGCGGTGACAATAATGTTTTCTAGAAAGAATGCCTTTCACCTAAACTTATCTAGAGAAAAAAATTACAAAATATAAATTTACTCTGTAATCTTTTCTCATTATTTTTAATTCAGTCATATAAACTTGCTTTGAAATAACTTTCTTTTGTAAATACGGAGTTAGCATCTTAATATTAATACCAAAAGGCAAAACATACACAAATAAAACCCCCAACAAATATGCTGAAACAAATATTCTGAGATCGTTAAAAGTAAAATAAAATATCCACATACCTTCAACAGCCTGTAAGTAACTGTTCCAAAACCCCAAAGCTTTCACATCAGGTAATGTGTGTACTGTAAAAAGCTCACTAAGGATTTTTGCAGAAAGACTCTCAGGTTTATGACACAGGATGCTACAAAATGCTTCTGGATAAGCCTGAATTTTCTCCAAAACACCAAGGGTTTTCAGACCCTGCTTAAAACTTAAGAGAAGAAAAATAATGAGCCAACATTCATACATGTGTGTTTGGTATTATATTAGGGAATATTTCCAGCATTTTATCTGGCATGTTTTCAAAACAGCTAATGATTTTTAAAAAACAACCAAAAAACCCCCACAAGAGACAATCATATTTTCAGATGTGAGGAAAAAGAGAAGATATGGATATACTACACATGATACTTTCAAATCCATAACAAGCAAATACATTAATATCAAATGAATATTTTATGTACCTACATTATTTGGCTTTATAGTTTCAAAACTAACAAGTTTTTATTAGTAAGAAAGACATCAAAATCTGAAGTGTTTTACACTTCAAAGCTAATTATTATAAAAATAAAGTTTCCCAGATATTACCAAGAGTGATAAATCTTCATTACATAAAAATTTAAAACCCATGTATTGCTAAAAAGAAATTAAGATAAAGCAAATGACAGATATTTTATATGACAGAAAATTAATTTTATGCAAAGAATACAAATTCTTCTGAAAGATCAATAGGGAAAATGAACAAAAAATATATGATTAACAAAAGAAATGCAAGTAACAACTGAATATTTTAAAATGCACATTTTCATTAATAAGCAAAGAACAAACATATCATTTTTGCCTGACTTTCTAAATTTCCTATTCACCTCCTCAGATACTCTTTTGTATGTGAGTGGGACGTGAGTTTTAGAGTGCCAGGAGCAGAATGTTATGGTTTCAAATGAGTTCCTTCGAAACTCATGTTGAAATTTAATGGCCAGTATAACAGCAATGGGAGATAGGGTCCTTAAGAGGTGAGTAGGTCACAAGGGCTCCGCCCTCATAAATGGATTAATATCATTATTGTGGGAGTGAGCTCCTGATAAAAAGGGTAAGTTCAGCCTGATTTCGAGGGCACACCTATGGGTTGAGTGCTCACTTGCTCTTCCACAATGCTATGACACAGCAAGACAGCTCTCACCAGATGCTGAGCAGATACTGGCACTATGCCTTTGGACTTCCCAGCCTCCAGAACTGTGAGAAATAAATTTCTTTTCTTTATAAATTACCAAGTCTCAGGTATTGTTATAGCAGCATAAAATGAGCTAAGAACACACATGTTTATCTGTTATCATTAAAAAGAAAAACAAATAATAAAAGAATAAACCACAAAAAAGTTGCCAAAATGGTTACTTCATAAAGGGTTGAATGGTGGACATAGTAAGGATGAAACCTATACTTCTTTGTATATACTTTCAATATATTCTTATTATACATTTGACTTTGGAACTATATAAAACATTTTATATAATTTTAAAATAAAATGAAATGTTAATAAAAACTAATCACTAAAAATAAAAAATGAAAATGCAATTTATGCTCAATTTTTAGCCACACATAAAATATTCCAATGACTTATAAGCACAACAATTTGATAATGTTAGTATTGTTATTCTGAGACTATTGGTTATGAAATGTGGAATAAATCACATGAAATAGTTGCTTCATACTTAAATTCTCCAGTGTCATTAAGAACTGGAATTCTCAACACAGGACAAAGAAAATGTTAAGTAAAAATCATGCAATAGAGAATCTGAATTAGAATTATCAGGACACACTCATAATGTATCTTTAAAAAAAAGTTTGATTTTAAAAAAAAAAACAAAATAGATTAAAATAGATTTAAAAACCCTTGATTTTCTAATTTGGGTTCAATGAAAAGGTCTAGATACCATGACCAACCCACCAAAACTAAGAATCTCTAGCATCCAGACTGTGGTTGTGAATTACCCATTTCCCATTAAAAATAACAAAGGTTCCTTAGGCTAAAATGTACAAAATGAGTCTGAAACACCTTGTGATACCATATAGCAAAAAAGCTTACAAAGACCATTAAGGCTCACATCGAAAGAATTAAAAACAATAATATAAAGAGACTTATACTGGTCCAAGACATATAAACTTCAGTAGTAATAGTAACTATAAAGATTTTAAACACATCAAATATATTTAAATCTATGGATTAATGATACTACTTTTTTTTAAATGAATTTATCAGGTTTGAGATGATATCTGGTATTGGCTTTAAAATAATACTGGAGTCAATAACAAGGGTAGGATAAAGATGAACAAGACAGGCACAAGTTAATAAGTGTTAGATCTGGATGGTGATTACAGACTTTCATATGTGTATTTCCATTGTTTAAAAAAATTGTAAGAGTGTAAGGAGATACATAAGTTGTCTAACTTAGACCAGTGTTCTAAACTAAAGGACAGCAGGAATCATACATACCTTGTTAATCAAAGAACGGTCAATATATGTATTACCCAGCAGATAAAAGGTACTCAATAAATAGTTATTAAATGAATGCACAGAGACAGAATAGTTGGCTCATGTGGTAAGAGTTTTAAAAAGAATATTTTTTAGAAAAAAATTATAATCTGAAGCAGTGGTTATTTCTATGAAAGCATCATACATTTACACAATTCTTTTTTCATTTTTTTGAGAGGGAATCTTGCTCTGTCACCCAGGCTGGAGTGCAGTGGCATGATCTTAGCTCACTGCAACCTCCGCCTCTTGGGTTCAAGCAATTCTCCTGCCTCAGCCTCCCAAGTAGCTGAGATTACAGGAACCCACCACCACGCCCGGCTAATTTTTGTATTTTAGTACAGACGGGGTTTCACCATGTTGGTCAGGCTGGTCTCAAACTCCTGACCTCAAATGATCTGCCTGCCCCAGCCTCCCGAAGTGCTGGGATTACAGGTGTGAGTGAGCCACCATGCCCGACCTACACAATGCTTATTAAATGATCAGAACAGTAACCATCCTAAAAAGGCTTAAGTTATTATTTAAAAATAGCATTTAAATTTTTTTCTGAGAAAAACATCTCACTTATTACCAAATATATCTCACATTACAAGATAATTAACCACTTTAAACATGTAATTTGAAAGAGCCATATATTAATAGAAACAACTTACCTTTCAAAGGGTGTGTGGACTCTCTGAATTACATGGTAGCCAAGTATGTCTTTTACTAACATATATTTATCACTTAATGTCGTTATAAGTCTGAGACATCCAATTAACTCAAGGTAGTTATAGCATTCATTTATTATTGACTTTAAGTCAGCTACAGTTGTTGCAGTATTTATCTGTAATGAAGGAGAAAATACAGCCACTTTACTCATTTACTTTTGAGTGACATGCACATTTCAAATGATACTTGTTAATTTATACTCAAATTTCTTAGTACATATGGGTGCAGTAAAAGTAAACCAAGAAATATTCTTCTAGAATAAATGTCTGATCATCCAGTTCAACAAATTTGTCTATTTCTGCCTTCAAGAAATCCAGAGTATAATGCCACTTTACTACGTGAAACTATTTATAAAAAAGGAAATAACTGACATTGAAAAATTATATAGCACTAGGTAAGACTAGCTACTAGGGAGGCTGAGGTGGGAGGCCTGCTTGAGGCCAGAAGTTCAAGAACATCCTGGGCAACACAGCTAGCCCCCCTCTAAAGAAAAAAAAAAAAGGCCTGGTGTGGGTGGTATACACCTGTAGTCCTAGCTACTCTGGAAGATGAGGTAGAAGGATTTTGAGCCCAGGAGTTGGAGGTTCAGTGAGCTATGATCACACCAATGTACTCCAGCCTGGGTGACAGACTGAGACCTTATCTCTTAAAAAGAAAAGAAAAAAAAAGAGAAAAGTTACCTAGTACTAGATAGGCAAGAAAGATGACCTGAGAATTCATGAAAAAGAGTAACAGCTGAGAATTAAAAGATGGACAGAATTTTATCAAGAATATTTTAGTGAACAGCATAAACAAAGAAATACTTGGCCATTTATGTGCAAGACACTTTCATACAGGTTAGCTCTTAAAGGTACAGATGGAGAAAGTTAAAAATAGGAAACAATCCATTAACAGAAAATTTACTTGCAATTTCCTTTTCCTAAAACATTCTTAGAGATTTACATGACTTCTTTTCATTCATTCAAAATCTCTGCTGAAATCTCCTAAGTTTTTCATGACTATTCTGCTCAAAATACTATCTTTACACCCTGTCGGAGTAATAATTGGGTATATGTTGCCTCATCCCTGCAAACCCTCAACCCTGAGTTTCAGCTGGGCACATAGCCAAACTTTTGCTGCAGCTAGGTGGGGCTACATGACTGTTCAATGGGATGTAAGTAAAAACAACATGTCAAACTTCCCTGCTCTCAACTTCCACTTTTCTCCTTTAAGAGCAAGCTTCAACCATGTGGATGCAAACAATAATGCTAAGTGTTACACGATAATGAGAGGAAGGAACTCAAGTCCTTAGACGGTTTTGTAAATCACAACTCTATCTCGAAAACAGAGGGCCATCTGTATAAAGGGCCAGATAGCATTTTATGCTTTTCAAACTATATGGTATCTGTTGCAGCTACTCAACTCTGCCACTGTAGCGTGAAAGCAGTCAGATCAGTAGCAAATGGGCATGGCTGCATTCCAATGTAACTATTTACCAAACAGGCAACAAGCCAGAACGTGACTTACAGGCCATTTTTTGCCAACTCTTACCCTAAAATCTAGACAATGGATTTTACAGAACAGTAAACATCTGCCTTGTTTGAGCCACTGTCTTTCTGGGTCTATGAGATACAGAAGTTTAGCCTAAAACCTAACTTGTATATACTCCAACCCTTATCCATCTCCTTTTATTCTGTTGTATGTATGCATGTATGTATTTATGTATACATTTATTTATTTGGGATGGAGTCTCACTCTGTTGCCCATGCTGGAGTGCAGTGGCATGATCCCGGCTCACTGCCACCTCTGCCTCCCGGGCTCAAGCGAGCCTTTCAAGCAGCTGGGACTATAGGCGCGCGCCACCACACCTGGCTAATTTTTTTGTATTTTTAGTAAAGATGGGGTTTCACCATGTTGGCCAGGCTGGTCTCGAACTGCTGACCCCGGTGATCCACCCACCTGTTCTCCCAAAGTGTTGGGATTACAGGCGTGACCCACTGCGCCCGGCCATATTCTGTTTTATTTAGCATTATAATACATTTTACTACGTGATGGCATATTACATTTGTTGTTTATCTTCTGTGTTCTCTCTTAATGTAAATTCCAAGAAGGCAGATACTTTGCTTCACTACTCTATCTTTAGTAACAAAACAGTACAGAATACATAGTATTTCTTAAATAAATGAACAAACACTGGATAAAAAGTACAGAAACTGGAGTAGATAAAGCCATGAAGAGAGGTGAAGGTCTTAAATGCCCTAATGAAGAGCTTCAACTTCGTTCAACAGGCAATGAGAAGCCACTGGGGGATTCCTGAGGAAGAAAGCAATATGGTCAAAACTGTACTTTTGGAAGAATCATCCCAAATAAGAATATTAGAACAACATTCTAATTGTCTAAGCCTAGGGAAAATTTGAGTTTGGTAAAATAGGCACACTAGAAACAGGAAGGAAAGGTTGACAATAAGTCAGTCTTAGAGGCAGGTGACTTGACATATAACTGGAAAATGGAGGAGTATGAAAATGACTCTCCAAGACAGCTTGGAAGTAAGAAGTCTCTTGGAAAGAAAAGGCAAACAGGTAAAAACACAAAAAAGCCCCACAAAAAACAATCAAACAAAAAATTCTGGGAAAAATACTATTTTTATCTTAAACATGTTAGACTCAATGTGCTAGCAAGACCCAGGTCTTATCTGTATATAAAAGTCCGGGGGCTCAAAAATACAGGTCTGTAAATCATTCAGAAAGATTACAGGAGAGAAGAAGCTCTCCAAATAATAAAGAATGATGACTGTTAAGACAACACTGAAAAATGCTAAGTTTCAGGGGTAAGAAGAAGTAAGAAGCATTAAAGAAGAGAGAATCATCAGAAGTAGGAGGAAGTACAATATTAAATAAAATATTGCAGAGAAATTCTAAGTGGTAATTGCAGAAGTCACAGCAGATGAAAAATTAGAAAAGGCCTTTGGACATGGATATTTAGCTCCCTGGATATAAACTATGAACTAGCTAACTTGAGACTGGTGGTAGGGACAGAAGCCTGATTACAAGAAATAAATAGGAAATACGAAGTAGAGACAATGAAGCTTAAATATACTTTTTTTTTAGTAAAGAGGGCACAAAAAGAAAAACGAAGAATTAAAGGGTCAATTTAAAACATGATGTTAGGATAAGCAGTCTTAGGGCAAATAAACAGAATTGTTGTAATACACTGTAGCAACTCACACTTCAATAGTGCTTACTGTGTGATTTAGAAACTGAGGTTTAGTAAGATTAATATGCCCAAAGTGACACAACATATAGTAGTTATAAGAGTTGGCATTCAAAGTAAAATCTGACTTCCAAGCCTGTGCTTTTTTTTTGAGACAGTGTCTCCCTCTGTTGCCCAGGTTGGAGTGCAGTGGTGTGAGCTCAGCTCACTGTAACCTCCATCTGCCGGATTCAAATTATTCTTGTGACTCAGCCTCCAGAGTAGCTGGGATTACAGGCACATGCCACCACGCCTGGCTAAGGCCTATGCTTTTAATCATTAAACAACACTGCCTGTTAATTGAGACAATGGATAGAATATGCTTAAGTAGGAGGGAGGTTAAGGAAGAAAAGTTAAATGGCTTGCATTGTCTCAGTTTTTAAAGCAGTAACATGTTGGCAATGACACTTATATGGCATTATGATAAATGAGTGTTTGCACATGTGACATGTTTAGTACAGGTCCCATTATAAGTGCTGAATAAATGAACTATTTTTAGGCGGACGCATTAAGTCCTCCCCGATCCCTACCACTTGTTTCCCTTTGGAAGAAATTCAGCCTAGTCTTTCTCTCCATCTATCATTCATACCTCCCTATAGAAGGAAGGAAAAGTATTCTAACTGGTAAGCCAAATCCTTCCTCTCTTCAGACCCATCGGCCTCCATCAAAGTGCACTTTCATCTGCTTTCTAGCTTGCAATAGGGAATCTGCCTCACGTTGTCTCTAGCAAGGCAGGCAAATCCATGTATTTCTGAGGAGTATTCACAAGCCATGGTGAACACAGACCAAAATCACATTATCCAACTGGTTTTACCAACATTAAACGTGGCACTTTAATCTCCAGCCATCTGACTTTTAAAACTATCTTTTAACTGGTTCAGAACTCCACTGGTAAACAGAAATATATGTTTACAATCCCTAACTCCTTCATAGATAATACTATTATTTTATTGCAGATCAGTCATTTACATTAAAAGATACCTAGAATGTAGTGTGCATTTTAATAAACAGATACATTGCTTACCCTGATTATAATCTGTGCCACATCAAAGTCTGAAACATCATCTAAAATTGGCTGGGTATTTTCTGGTCCATAAACAAGGCAGTTAAACAAGGTTTTAGAAAAGAAACCAGGTGAAGGACCACCGTGAACTAAAGAAATGGCAAGCATTTTGCCAGCTTCATAGTAAAGATTCTCTTTCAGAGCTGTAAATACAGATGAAAATATATCAAATACACTTCTATTATTATAAGATAACCATCATTTTTTATATTAAAAATTAGTCCAAAAATCTAAGCATTAGATAAATATAATTCTTAGAAGCTATCATTATGTAGAAAATATAGATCTTACCTAAAATATAAAAAAAGACACATTTTTCTGAATATAAAGTAAAAATCTATTGTAGAAAACATAAAACACAATAAACCTACCACCATAATAACCACTGTGAACACTTTGGTGTACAGTCATGCACCATATAAGGATGTTGTGGTCAAGAATGACCAAATACACTAAGGTGGTCCCTAAGATTATAATGAAGCTGAAAAACTCCTATGACCTAGTGATGTTATACTGTCATAGCACAATGCATTACCTTTTGTATATTTAGATATACATATACTTACCATTGTGTTACAATTGTCTACAGTATTCAGTACAGTAACATGTTATACAGGTTTGCAGTCTAGAACCAATAGGCTTTACCATAGAGCCTTGGTGTGTAGTAGGCTACACCAACTAGGTTTGCGTAAGTATACTTTATGATCTTTGCATGATGAAATTGCCTACTGACACATTTCTCAGAACATATCCCTGTTACTAAGTGACAAATGACTGTACTTGTACCTCTTTGTGTATATAAATATAAAAAGTTTGACTTATGCTTTATCCACTTATTATATTGTAAACTTTTTATCATACTACTCAAAATTACTCAAATCTACAGTTAATAAATGCATTTAGACTAACTTAGAGATGTACTATAATGCAAACCATCCCCCTGGCTATCCTGGCTAAGTGATATTTCTAACTTTATGAGACATAATGTTACAGTCAACATACTCACATATTCTTGTTTATATTTATTTGATTAGGATTCCTACAGATGGTATTAGTAGGTCAAAGGATAGGAACATTTTTAAGGTTCTTGATCTATATCACTAAATAATCTTTCCCAAAGGCACAAGTTTACTCCCAACAGTATATGCTGTCTTACCTTACTGTCAGAGCTTGAATTAAAATTGTCATTTCAAATGTATTAGCAACTTTGATGTGCCAAAACAAGTAAATTTTTCCTTAATTTTTAAATTGTTGAAAGCAACTTATTAATAAGTGACATTAACAATACCTGTGTAATAACCTTACAAGCTACATATTCATAGTCACATTTTACAGATGAAGAAACTGAGATCCAGAGAGAGTAAGTAATTAAGGATGTAAAGAACTAGATGTGTACAAACTTGAATTCAGATTCTGTGATTTAAATTCACGTACTCTCCACCATACCAAAGCTGCCTTGAGTTAACATTACTATTTGGAAAGTTTTTTCTTTATTTTTACATTTTATTTTAAAGGGAGTTTATAATTAAACTGTGTGAACTATACAGAGTAAAAATGATGCTTTAGGCAATGGTTAGGATGTTTACAGAAAATATAGTAGGAAATTCAAATGAAATGAAATGCCTTCTCATTTTCTTTCAAATTTCCTATTACAGCAAAAGTAGTATAAAAGCCCCTAAAAGAGAATGCCAGAATTACCCACTGTTTTGAGATGCCTGTTATAATTACCTTAAGTTCTCACCAATAGTGAAGACAGAAAACCATCATATACATAATTGTGCAAAAAAAAAAATATTGCAAACAAAAGTATACTGAAAAATTGGTTACATGTGGACCAGGAAACTATGTTATAAAAACTCTATGTTAACCGCAAATTCCAAATATACAAACAGGAAGAATTCAAATAATCATCCCCATTTGGCCACTCTATTAAAATGAAATTAGAGTTAAGATAAAGTTACACTTAATTATGGATTATTTTAAGGAGAATATTGCTATAAAGAATGTATATTCTTAAATAAAAAATGTTTCACCACAAAATTTACTTTTTAAACTATCACTCCCCCTTCCCACTTTCCTGTGATTCTATCAGTAGTTTATTAACAAAGTGAACAGTATATTTAGAGCACAGGTATTAAATATCAATTCTAACCAGCTATCTATCTCTTTTTCTATACATGTGATATTTGGTATATACAACAATAAATAAAATAATTACCTTGAGAATTTAGAGACAAGTTCTTTGACAAGGACCCTTCAAACAATGATGAGTTCTCAAGATGTTGCATTAAGAGACTCAGAAATTCTTGCTTTGATCCAGGATGCTCACTTCCAAAATTATCATTTTCAATAACATATGCTACTTCAATTGCATATGAAGGATTAAAGTTTCGATTTCTGAATGCATCTAAGGCACTATTCCAGATATTGGCTTTGTTGATATACAATCTTTTAGTTTTTTTTTTAATTTGGAATCCTAACTCTATTAATAGTGTTGATACATTTCTTCTAAATTTGCTGCCTTGCCTATAAAACATGAATTTAAATATAGAGATAAGTACTTTAAAGTACTTTATGTGAAACAGCAGTTATATAGCCAATAAAACAAGACGAGGGGAAAAAAAGATTAATAGGATATTCTTCCCCAATTCCCACCCAAAATTGTAACAATGGCTGCTACTAGAACCAAAAACAGTTATTTGATAATCTTAGTTTTAAATTCTTGATTCCTCACCCCAATCTTTTACCAAATTAGAATCATGTACAAGAAAGTTGATAGATAATTATCTCAAATTTGACCAACCAGTGAATTCCGGTTTAAGAATCAGAATCTCAGGCCAGGCGCGGTGGCTCACACCTGTAATCCCAGCACTTTGGGAGGCAGAGGCAGGCGGATCACCTGAGGTCATGAGTTCGAGACCAGTGTGACCCACAGGGAGAAACCCTGTCTCTACTGAAAATACAAAATAAGCTGGGCGTCGTGGCGTATGCCTGTAATCCCAGCTACTCAGGAGGCTGAGGCAGGAGAATCACTTGAACCCGGGAAGCAGAGGTTGCGTTGAGCCAAGATCACGCCATTGCACTCCAGCCTGGGCAACAAGAGCGAAACTCCGTCTCATAAATGAATGAATGAATGAATGAATGAATGAATGAATGAAGCAAGCTCAAACTCTCACCTTCCTGGCTAATGGCTATAATTAACTTTCTTAATTGTAGTTTACTTCACATTTACTATGTCCTTTTTTAAAAAAAGCAAATGTAATCTCTCCTTACTATATAAGAAAATGTCTTTGAGAGATTACACAATATATTTTAAATCATAAAGTCATAATTAACAGTAGAGCTAATATTATAAACAGAATTCACAATTCCTAAAATAGTACCTTTTAGTCTAGATCAGTAAGTCACAAAGTGTGCTCCCAGACCAGCAGCAGCAGCAGCAGCAGCATTACCCCAGAACTTGTTAGAAATGCAAATTACTGAGCCCTACAGCGCATCTATAGAATCAGAACCTGTCGGCATGAAGCCCAGCAATCTGTTTTAACAATCCAAGTGACGATATAAACCAGCTCAATCACTCCTTCCCTCAGTTTCTCCATCTGTAACTGGAATTAATGTTCTCAAAAATAATCTTGTTTTGGGCAATGCCCATGGATCATTTTCCATACCAAGTATGAATCTGTCCCACCCCAAGACGTTACAGTGCCCTAGTGTAGGCCAGGTTTTGCTTTTTCTTTTTTCTTATGATCCTCTCTTCATTAACTCATGTTGAATAAAAGCGAAAGTCCTTTGGAAGTAAGATAATTCTTCAGAAACATACCTTTTTTATAGCAGGTTGATTCCTTGCTCCTGCCTGGATCAGGGGAATGCTGATGCTATTCTTCTAAATATGACTGCATGTTAAAGCAGGAGCAAGGAGTCAAGCTTCCCTGGTGTAGCGTCTTTGGAAATCTCAATATTAAAATTATTTTAAAATAATGTGAACATCTATTTTGATACTAAAAGTGTTATAACAATATTTGTAACAGATTTTTCAGTAGAGCTAACACAAGTGGCATAGTAAAACAGATATTCTTCACATTTTGAAAGAGTACTTAATATTCTACCTGTCTGCAAATCCAGTTATCAAATGTTTTCACAAAAATTCTCTTTACTATCTTCTAAGGTTTTAAACTTGAAACTTTTTAGAGACAAGGTCTTGCTGTGTCACTCAGGTGAGAGTATAGTGGCATGATCATAGCTCATTGCAGCTTGAACTCCTGGGCTCAAATGATCCTCCCACCTCAGCCTCTTGCCTAGCTAGGACTACAGGTGCACACCACCATACCTGGCTATTTTCTCAAAATATTTTTGTTGAGACAGAGTTTCGTAATATTGCCCAGACTGGTTTCGAACTCCAGGGTTCAAATGATCCTCCCACCTTAGCCTCCCAAACTGTTGGGATTACAGGTATGAGTCACCATGCCCAGCCTGAAATTATTTTTAACAAGAAAGTATTTCATCATGCTTAGCGACTAATTTTCTACTTCTTCCCTATTGGGTAAAGCAAGGCTCTAAAAACTCTTTTGCAAATCTATATAAACTTAAAAATCTTAACTACAGCTGAACAAATACCCAACATTATAAAGATGTAATTCCAGTCTTATTTAAATGTTTAAGATTTTGAAAGTAACTTATTATTTTGCTACCTTTTTTTTTTTTTTTTGAGACAGAGTCTCGGCTCTGTCACCAGGCTGGAGTACAGTGGCGCGACCTTGGCTGACTGCAACCTCCGCCTCCTGGGTTCAAGCAATTCTCCTGCCTCAGCCTCCCAAGTAGCTGGGACTACAGATGCACAACACTATGCCCAGCTAATTTTTGTATTTTTAATAGAGACGGGGTTTCACCATATTGGCCAGGATGTTCTCGATCTCTTGACCTCGGGATCCGCCCGCCTAGGTTTCCCAAAGTGCTGGGATTACAGGCGTGAGCCACGATGCCCGGCCTATTTTGTCTCATGGGAACAGAAATTAATTTGATAATAGTATGTATGCCTTAAACTTTCTAAAGGGAAGAGCTGACATTTAGACTCCTGCCATTGACAGTAAACAGGCAAACAATGATTATAACATCAAAAAATGGCAGGGCATAGTGGCGCACACCTGTAATCCCAACATTTTGGGAGGCAAAGGTGGGAGGACTACTTGAGACCAGGAGTTCAAGACCAGTCTGGGCAACATAGCAAGATGTCCATCTCTACAAAAATTTAAAAATTAGCCAAGCATGGTGGCATGCATCTGTAGTTCCAGCCACTTGGTAGGCTCAGGTGGGAGGATCACTTGTGCCCAGGAGGTCGGGGCTGCAGTGAGCCATGATCATGCCACTGTACTCCAGCCTGGGTAACAGAGCGAGACTTTATTTCTAAAAAAAAGAAAAAAGAAAAAAAAATTTCTATATTAAATAGGATTCTTTCCTTTTAATAAGGTGACACGGTATGCTTGATATTTTACTTTCCTGTCTTACTCTATAATCAAATAACATTTTAAGTACATTTTCCAGACCAGTGTTTTTCAAACTATCTTGAAAGTGATCTATAATAAAAAATATATTTTACATCATTACTCAGTACACAAAAAAATAATTAGGATAGATACACTTTTCCCACGTATGATGCAGTAGGATAGATACACTTTTCCCACGTATGATGCAGTTTGGTATTTTGTATTCTATTCTATCCCATTTCATTTTCTTTAAAATGCTGGTTGCATTGATTTCATGATCAAATGTTGGGTCCTGAAGGCTGAAAAACATTCTTCTAGACTACTGTATGATCACCTAATATTCTAAATGTATATGGCATTTCCTATCATAATTTTCTCCAAATAGATTTTTATGTATTTCTCCAATTCAAAATACATACCTCAGTAGATCTTTACTCTGGGATCCAGGTGACTGTCTGGGTAATTTAGGTGATGACTCTTCCAACAAACAATCTGTAATCCCCACATTATTAGAATTGGGTAATACATGTTTTTTGGCTTTTTGGAACTCTCCTACAGATTTAAATTTCCATGTTAGCATAATAGAGATATAGGTAAAAACTTTTAAATCATATACATTTGAATAAAAACTTTATTCAAAATTACAAAAAAATTACCTGAATTGTAGATAATACCCCTACATTCCAAACACTCCCAATTTTGCTCCCATGACCGTAATGAGGAGCAGGCTAAATGTGTGCCACTGGAACCACAACACTGACAGCGCTTTATTTCCCATTTGCTGAGGACACAAAGAAAAGCAGAACTTACATTTTGTTATTATTCTAGTTTCAACCACTAGCAATGTCCACAGGGCCTGCCTTCTTACACACAAACACGCACACACCCGCCCAATCGATTTACTAAAGGAAGAAAAAGATTATCTGCTTCTCTAAATATCTCTAATGTAAAAACCAAAACTAACTTATCACACTCATATGCACATACAAAGAATATAAACAAATATTTTGTATGTATATGCACATACAAAGAATATAAACATCAGACAAAATATGACTAAGAGGGAGAAAATAAATTTTCCTTTCTACTTAGAGATGACTATGCTTACAGGGAGATTGCTGTGTCAGTGTGTCTGATATGGAAGAAACATTCAGTAAATTTCAAGGTGAGGAATATTTCCTAAAATAAGCTTGCTCAAACACCTCAGGTATTGTGCAGTTCAACAGAATCCAGATCTACCTGGCTCATATTTATATTCTCTGTCATCTGTTCCCAGCTCCATGTTTCCCCACTGTGTTATGTGGTGTATGCCAGTCCATATTCATATTTTCTCCATGACTACAAGTGTGGGCTGTAGTGTAGGGCTCCAGCCTTTTTGTTGGGTATGACTATGCCTTCTCTGTTTAGAAACAGATTTAGCTCCCCGTGTGTGTGAGTGGCAAGAGAGGTAACTAGATATCATCCCTACCCCAGAGGTGGGGGCATATCATCCCTCTGTGTGGGTGTGCGTATGTTAATTTCTGTCCTGTGTATGTGTGTGTCTCTGCCCAGTGACAACAGTGCGGAGGAAGAAACAGCTAACCTAAGTGCTTATTATGCTCCAGGTCCAGTTCTCTCTGTGTTCATATGAAAAGTTTAATCCTCACAATTGTAGAAGGTAGAGAGAACCACTGTCACTTCCATTATAAAGAGGAAATCAAGGCACAGAGGGGTCAATAACTTGTCCACTCAAGTTCACACTAGCCAAGTCTCAGAGTGAGGATTCCATTTCAGTTTATCTAGCTTCAGACATGCTCTTAAGCACTAACCATGCTGCCTTTCACTAAAACTGCCTTCTTCTCACTAGGATGAGAGGGCGTGAGATTACAAAGCAGTCATTCAGATAGACAATATCTTTGTCCTGGAAAGAAGAGTTGTAGCTACTGATTGAGAGACCAATGGTATACAAGAAATACATATAGGTTAAGAACAGCCTAAAATAAATTTGAAAAATATCAATATTATGAATGTATTGCTTCTTAAAATTCTATATACATTATTTCATCTGTGCCTCAGCAAAACTCTTGAGGGAGATATTATTGGTGTTAACGAATGAATAATCAGGGTCACTAGATCAAGTAACACAGGCAAGAATACATGTTACTTGATACCTTCAATGAGATCTCTGCCTTCTAAGAATTTTTGGTTTAATAGCATTAAATTTAAATAACGCCAACTATATTGTAACAAGCACAATGAAGGGAACCCCTAGCCCAGAGTAGGGAATCAGGAATGAGGAGAGCTGCTAACAGGAAACTTTCCAGAGCAGGCTAGACCTCAGCTGAATCTTCACAATTAAGTAGTAGCTGACTCAACCTTGTTTCATGAAACAAGGCTCCCAGTATTCTGCTCTATACACTGAGCTTACTATGTTAAGTAAGACTACATAACAGTGATAACAAATTATTGAAATTTCCTATATAAATTTTGTAAACTGGATTTGTTACTTATCCTACATCTTAAAAACTGAAGATATTCTTAGTTCCTACTATGCAACACAGTACACTGTACCTCAAATGCACAAAATGACTGTTGTAGAAAAGAGCCGTATCCACTGACATTACAAAAGAGTAATCAATAAATTTCAAATGCCAAACCCTTTTTATGGTGGTCCAAAAGGAACAGTGCTAGATGAATCTAGTTAAATTACCCTCTAGAACAGTGCTGTCCAATAGAAATACAATGTAAACCATATATGTAATTTAAAATTTTCCAGTAGCCACATTAAAAAATATAAAAAAGTTAAATAACATATATTTTTATTTCCAAAATGTTATAATTTTGTTCAATATGTAATCTACATAAAAATTATTAACAACAAATTTTAAGTTATTTGGTCATGTAAGTTCTTTAAGTCGTATTAAAATAATATGACTATGGGCTGAAATGTGTCTCTCCCCACTTCATATGTTGAAGTAAATCCTAAGTCCTAGTACATCAGAAGGTGACTATATATGGAGATAAGGCCTTTTAAGAGGTAATTATGGCCGAGCGCAGTGGCTCATGCCTGTAATCCCAGCACTTTGGGAGGCCGAGGCGGGCAGATCACGAGGTCAGGCATTTGAGACCAGGCTGACCAACATGGTGAAACCCGATCTCTACTAAAAAATACAAAAATTAGCCAGGCATGGTGGCATGCGCCTGTAATCCCAACTACTCGGGAGGCTGAGGCAGGAGAACTGCTTGAACCCGGGAGGCAGAGGTTGCAGTGAGCTGAGATCATGCCACTGTACTCCAGTCTGGGCAACAGAGCAAGACTCCATCTCAAAACAAACAAACAAAAAAAAGAGGTAATTACAGTAAAATAAGGTCAGATAGGTGGGCCCTAAACCAAATGACTGGTGTTCTTATAAAAATAAAAGAGATTAGGACGTAGACAACACACCGACAGAGGGACAACTCGTGTGAGGACATAGCTAGAACACAGCCATCTGCAAGCCAAGGAGGGAGGCCTCAGAAAAAACCAAACCTGTCAATAACTTGATCTTAAACTTCCAGCCTCTAAAATTATGAGAAAATAAATTTATTTTAAGCCACCCAGTCTGTGGCATTTTGTTAATGGCAGCCCTAGTGAACTAAGTCTTTGGTATGTATTTACAGCACCCTTGCAATTTGGAAAAGGGAAATCTCAAGTGCTCAACAGCCACATGTGGCTAGTGGCCACCAGATAGGACAGTGTGGCTCTAGAAAATAGTCTCGTGATAAGACAACAGAGAAATAGGTTACAACTATACTAACTGCAAAAATTTCTCTGTAAACAGACGTAAATGTGCATTAGAAAATATCCCTCATCTCAATTTAAACTTCTAACATCCTAAGAGAAAAACTACGTTTCACTAACTATAAAATCTACTTTCTCAGCAGAAGGTTTAAACAAGGAACCACTAAGCACAACTGAACTTTCAGAAATACCTATCAGGTGCATTATAGTCTCGCCCTTCTTTGCAACGACATCTTCGAACATCACAACGCTCATAGTGCTGCAGAAGCTCTTGATAAGCGTTTTCCTCTAATTCCCAGGAAGCATCTCTATAAAAGAAGATATAAAATATGCTTTGACCTATAAATAATGTTACATAAGAGGATCAGGAATGAATCTAAAAATAAAAACCTTTTTTTGTTCTTGAGACGCAGTCTTGCTCTTTCGCCCAGGCTGGAGTACAGTGGTGCAATCTCAGGTCACTGCAACCTCCGCCTGCCGGGTTCAAGCGATTCTCCCTGCCTCAGCCTCCCAAGTAGCTGGGATTACAGGGGCCTGCCACCATGCCCGGCTGGTTTTTGTATTTTTTAGTAGAGACAGGGTTTCGCCATGTTGGCAAGGCTGGTCTTGAACTCCTGACCTTGGGTGATCTGCCCGCCTCGGCCTCCCAAAGTGAGGGGAGGGATTACAGGCGTGAGCCACCATGCCTGGCCTAAAATAAAAACTTTTATATACTTAGGAGAATAATAAAACTTGTCCTTTTCAGGATTCTCTTTAAGATATAAATCCATTAGTGTTATTTTATCATACAGTTAATTAGTCTCAATGAATTTTCACATGCTAAATGAAAAGTTAACAAGAAATTTTTTATAACACATTTTTCCAAATATTTCACTTTCGATTTTTAATTTTAAGTTCACTATCATTATTTCTGGATTCTTCATGTTTAAGTATTAAAAAAATTCTTACATATTTTAAATCACATCTTGATTCTCTTAATTTATACATTTTGAAGCCTATTATAAGTGTACAAAGTCAATCAATTAAAATTGGACATAGCTGAGCTACTTATAAAGAGATTATAAATCAATGAATGAGACATTTATGACACAGTCCCTGCTTTCCAAGAACTGGCCATGTGGGGGAGGAGAAGGTTTTGCATTTCACCATTTGAAATGGCTACCTGTCCATGCTCACTGAATCAGACATAAGTGATCATTTCCATTGCTATTAAATCCTACATTTAAAATATCTTTTTTTTATCATAAGGCTAAATGTTACTCACTTTTCAGGAATATGAATTCCCATTCTCAACATCTCTTTCTGAAAGATGTCACTATTATTGCATATTGTACACCTAAAGAAAAACACTCCCGCATTTATTGCTTGAACCTACAGTGGAAAATAAAAAGTCTACTGTTAATGATTTAAATCTGTTATCAGGTGATATATTATGTAACAGAACATGTGCTATTTTTAACAATATATTATGAAAACATTTTCTATGCTAGTGGGTTCTCAAACTTTGTCCTTATAAACTAAGTTATCCCACTGCTAAAATCTATAATTCTTTTTTCCAATGGTTAAAAAAAAAGCTAATTAATACTTAGCTTTACATCACCCATATATTTTTTTCAATCTTATTGTGCAATGTCATTTTACTTACTGTGTAATGTTACTAAATGTTGTGTTGCCCTTTAAAATGTGAGAAAAAAATGAAACTCCTGAGTTACCTCATCTAGAAATGGGGTTTAAATGTTACATAAAAATCATCACTGGTTCTGTTTTTAACTCAATCTCTAAGACAGCTTTCTTCCCAAAACGGGAGAAGTATAAAACCTATCCTCATTGCTATAGCAAATACAGATACAGAAGCACCAGACAGAGGGTACTCAGAAGGAAACAGGAAACTGTAAGCCTACTGGAAAGAAGAGCCAGTCCCCAGTAAAAACTAGTAGCATGCATTTATTTAACAGATAGTTAACTCCTGCTTTATAGATGCCAAACACCATGCTATGTACCAAAAATACAAACAACATTTGGTATTATGTACCAAAAAACATGACAGCTTCGACTTCAAGGAATTCTAGTGAGTAGGTATACAGGTATAAAACTACAATACTGTGTAAAAGTATGTGAGTATTTTAAGTATACACATGAAAGAAACAAGAAGGAGTACCTAAGTCTATACTGATAATTATGTCAGAGGGTTAGTAAAGCAAAAGCTAAGTTTAGAAGAAGAAATAGAGGTTTGCCAGGAAAATAGGACAAAAGACATTCCAAGGATGGGGAATAATATATATGAAGTTTCCCCGGCAAGAGAGAGAATGTGTAATTAGGAAAATACAATTAATAATATAGTTAAGGATTACATTCTTGCCAAACTGAACTAAGTAGAGGCTAGGTAGGTAAGTTAAAGACAGTAGTATGAAGAATAAATTGATAGGGACTAAGGCCCTAGAGAAAGACCAACTAGTGGTCTCCTACCAAAAAGAGTGTCTGAAATTAAAGCAGTGAGAGTAGGATTACAATAAAAAGGATACACAGAATATACTAAGTAGACTTGATTACACTTGGGGAATGATTTACGGATGGTGAAGAGAGAAGCTAATAAAGAGGATTCCAGGTTCAGACAATTAGCAAGTGACACACACACACACACACACACACACACACGCACACCCACCCACCCACCCACCCATATAAGGGAGGGAAACAACAGGTTATTGAAATCTCTGAACCTAAAGGATATTTGAGCAATTGCAGACAGATGCCAAGATCTTTAACTAAATATGGTATACGATAAAAGGAAGTATCTGGTATAGAGGAGAAAAAACAGGATAAGACACATGGAAGATACCAACAAGACTAGAGCAATGATGGAAAAATCCAAGCTGAACAAAAATAGTGACAATTCTGTAGACACAGAGTGGAAAGTTTTTACCAGTTTCTTTGATAGCAATCTCTAGTCTCTTCTCCCAAAATCCCAATGTATATTATTTGTAGTGGTTACAAATAATGACATTTGTTTAACCACATACAGCTATCTAGATTGGATAAGACTCCATATGTTATTTCAGTTAAGACCGATACCAGAGTACAAAAGTTATTGGAACTCCTTTAGAGAGAGTGACTCAAGAATTAGCCCCATCCTTAGTATGCTCTAATCGAGTATAATAATAATTGCTTAGTGATATTTCTTACATCATAGACAGGTGTCCATGTGGCTGTGATCTTCAGTTATATTTGCATAAAGTAGACCTAGTCTTTTTTGTTAGTAATATTATTTCTACTTTTTTAACGACAAAATTAAAACTCAGTATTTTCAGAGTGTTCACAAAAGGCCTTAATGATACTAGGTCAAGTATGAGAACCTTTCTTTGCTTAATTATTAACAAATAAATGAGAAAAATCTTATGAAAAATAACATACTGCTACAAAATTAACAAGATGACACATTTGGCAGCAATTATATTCATCCAAATACAAACCCTTAATTAAAACAAATTACTTTTTAAAGATTCTCATATAATATGAACAGGTAAGGATAACACTTCACAATGTTGTTTATTAACTGCACTCTCTAGGATCCTTTTATAAACACCTCTTTGCAAGTATTAACCGAATTTCTAATATTTCCCCAACAAAACAGGCTTCATCCTGCATTTTTTTTAAAGACAGAATCTTGCTCTGTCGCCCAGACAGGAGTGCAGTGGTGCTATCTCAGCATACCGCAACCTCTACCTCCCGGGTTCAAGCGATTCTCCTGCCTCCGCCTCCTAAGTAGCTGGGATCACAGGTGTGCACCACCACGCCCAGCTAATTTTTTTTTTTTTTGTATTTTTAGTAGAGAAAGGGTTTCACCATGTTGGCCATGCTGGTCTCGAACTCCTGACCTCAGGTGATCCGCCCTCCTCGGCCTCCCAGAATGCTGGGATTACAGGCATGAGCCACTGTGCCCTGCCTTCATCCTGCACTTTTAACTGAATAATCCTAAGTATAAAAGTTCAAGGTCCATACAAAAAAAAAAAAAGGTATCAGTCAAACTTTACTACTTTTAGTACTGTTAGTATTTTTAAGACTTTATTGAAATAAGAGAATTTACATCTTTTTTTTTTTGAGATGGAGTCTCGCTCTGTGGCCCAGGCTGGAATGCAGTGGTGCCATCTTGGCTCAGTGCAAGCTCCGTCTTCCGGGTTCATGCCATTCTCCCGCCTCAGCCTCCCTAGTAGCTGGGACTACAGGCACCCGCCACCATGCCCGGCTAATTTTTTTTTTGTATTTTTAGTAGAGACGGGGTTTCACCGTGTTAGCCAGGATGGTCTTGATCTCCTGACCTCGTGATCCACCCTCCTCGGCCTCCCAAAGTGCTGGGATTACAGGCGTGAGCCACCACACCCGGCCTACATCTTTTAACTTTTAAAAATATGTCTGTGGACAATTAGTAATAATAACCTTTCATTTTAATAAACAATAATAAACTTTAAAAAACAGTATTAAACTTAAGTTCATCAGCTGGCACTTTCACATGTACATATTACATATTTGATGTTACTAATAACTGGAATCTTTTTCAAGTTTTCAAGTATTTTCAGAATCAAAGAATTATTAAATTGTCTAATGTTATGTCTTATCATATTCTATTTACTTGAAAAGTAGTAATAAGGTTTGATACGTAAGATGACTCTCAAAGAACCAATATTTTTAATTAATTGACAGTAATCAGCTCCCTGTTAAGAAGTTATGGTAAAGTGCTTACCATTGGGAAGAAAAGCCTACTAATGTTTAAATATCTTAACTTGCTATCAAGCTTCTTATCATTTCAAATATCCTGGTTTTCCAGCATAAATATGTAAATGAAACTTAGGAATTAAAATCTAGTTTATTCATTGTGAAATCAAACAAAATCCTTAGGTAAAAACAACAAAATTCTTTAAGTATAAATATACATTAAAAAGTTTCATCTGAAGTATTTATTGAATGTTAATTGTATACTTAAATAGGGTGAATTTTGTATGTAAAATCTGCTTCAAATTAAGTGCTTTAAAGCTGTTTTAAAAGTAACAAGTAGTAAGAGGTAATATACACGTCAATTCTTTCTAATTTAAAATTTAAATCAGCAAGCCATAATTTTATATCAATCAGAGAAAGCTTACAAAATATGTATCTTACCTGTAAACAGTCTCTATGAAACCAAGCGTTCTTACAACAAGGACTTCGTAATATGTTATAACTTGGAATAGGCTCAATAAATTCCAAGCAAATGGTGCATGGTAAGGACTCTCTATAATTATTAGATGTAATTATTTGAACAGGTCGATGGTCCCAACAAAATGACCTAAAAATGTAAATTATTTTAAAAAAATCTCATGAACTGCAAAGCAAAACTTGGAAAACACTGTAATTCACATATATAAAATGAAATTCATTTGTGTCTGTCTCATAATTCACCTACAACAGACTGGAGCCTTGGCACTAAAAATTAAGTCTCACAATCTATGACCAAGGAGAGAGCTGGACCTTCGAAATCTGAACTTTTCTGGTAGTGAGACTTACTTATACAGAATTTCAGAAACTAATAATTATGTTGAGAATCCTGTGTAATATTGTCAGCAATACAGTATATACATTATTGTATTCAACAAATGGGTGCATACGTTGTGCTCAAAATCGTATAAAATTAAGGGAGGCAGGAACTTACGCCTAAAAAATAGTTTAGTCATATAACACATAAAATGCAATTAATAACCTATTCCCAATTCACTTTATTTCCATTTGTATTTTCTAAACTGTAGTTTTCTTACATGATAACAATCCATTAAATAGGTCAAAAACACAACTACTAAAAGAAATGGAATACTTATGATACCAAAAGTCAAAATTCATAAAACCTTGATGTTTAAAGTTGTACTCAGGAAGCAAATATTTTCAGGGGTATCCTAGGGCATAATATTTACTTTGTGTACTCAATCAAATTTACATGCCTTTGATTTACTCGAAATGCATACAGCCCTGTGAAGAATAAGTCTACAATAATTCTAAAGAGTGACACAGAAATCTAGAATTATGTAAAGGTGGAGATTTTCACTGAATTATGGATAAATTAACAATTTCATGTTATATCCAAAAGCTGAAAATTGAAAATGAAAGCTAATCATTAGGTCCATCCTAGACATGGTAATTCTCAAGACTTGGCACATAGAAATGACCCCATAAGGGTGGGCGGGAGGGTAATACATATAATGTTATATCTAAACTCTGATGCTCTAAACAGAAAATTTATTGTAGTATTATATCATTGGGATATGTATTTTCCACTATTCTTTAACACTGAACTTTCATATTTAACAGTTAAATAACTCACGCAAAATTGCCAGTAAACTGGAAAATACATTCTCTCTGAAGTCCACATGGGAAATGATAACTTCGTTTACATCGGGGTGCAACACATCCAATTGAAGCACCATTTTTCTTGCAAACACAGCATTTCTAGAAGAGTATGTGAAAATAGGGGTCACAACATAAAAAATCTGAGTATTATAATATGATCAAGACATAAATAAATACTCCTGGTGGGGAATCTGAAAATTATTTCATCATGTAACAGCTGTGGTAAGGGTATATTAAATAAATTTCCTGAAAAACTGTTCTACCCAGAAACAATCTAAAGACACCAAAGATTCACTCCTATAACAATTTCGATAAAGAAAACATCTCTAGCCTAACATGTGGATAAGACAGAGAAGCCCCTTTTCCTTCCTACTAAAATATTTTAAACTGAAGGGTTTATAAACATAAAAGCTATATACATAAACACCTCATTGAAATCTCAAGAGAAAGCACATAAATTAGGCAACACTCACCAAGAAGAATAGGAAAATACTATAAACCAATTTGTAAAAAAGGCTAAGATCACTCTATTCTGACCAAATGAAAAAGTGTTGAGACACCTACAGTGGATTTAGAGTGGTCTCCAAAAAGTTATGCTCAGGTCCCGACTCCCAGTACCTGTGAATGTGAACTTACTTGGAAATACGGTCTTTGCAGATGTAATTAAGTTAAGGATCTTGAGATCATCCTGGATTTAGGGTAGTCCTTAAATCAAATAACTGAGGTCTTTACAAGAGAAAGGAGAGGGAGATTTAAGACACAGGCATATACAGAGAAAGGCCTGTGAAGATAGAAACAGATTGGAGTTATGCTGCCACAAGCCAAGGTACTCCAAAGGTTGCCAGCAGCCATGTGAAGCTAGGGGAGAAGCATGGAATCAATTCTCCCTTAGTGCCTCTAGAAGGAACCCTTTTGACACTTTGATTTACAATTCTGGCCTCCAGAATGGTGAGAGAATAAATTTGTTTTAAGCAGCCAATTTGCTATGGCAGCCCTAGGAAATGAATATACTACCAGTGCCGCTAACTGAAATGTAACAGTGGTACATAAATAGAAAAATTATTAAATGAATCAATCATTAGCAAAATACAGAACAGTACCTAAAACACCTTGGAACCCTTAAGACGGCAATTAAAATGGTCACTGATTCAGGGATTACAGAGTTACTGCTGACCCCTTTGAGCACCACCTAGGTCACTGGAGAATACCTGCCAACCCGAAACTCTCCCAATGAACTGACAACAAGGAATTCTAGTTTGAGTTCACAAATGAGACTCTTCTTTTCAAGGGTTCACAATATACTTGGAGAGGATTCGGATGTTTTAAGAAAATAAGTACAGGTTGAATATCCCTTAATCCAAAAATCTAAAATCCAAAATGCTTCAAAATAGGAAACTTTCTGAGTGCCAACATGATGCTCAAAGGAAATGCTCATTGGAACATTTTGGGTTTTGGATTTTCAGATTAGAGGTGCTCAACTGGTAAGCAAATATTCCTAAATCTGAAAAAAATTTCAAATCTAAAATTCTGGTTCCAAGCATTTTGGATAAGGGATATTCAATCTGTAGTTCCAAACCATAAGGGGACCTTTAGAGACCACCTTTTACCACAAGCTCACTATCACCAGGAAGTTTAGGAATTATGATACTAATATCTCACGTTTAACATCTCACGTAGTCCTTAGATTCATGCTCACCTTTCTCCCACGGTTCTTCCTTGTGCCCTAGAACCTCTGTTTTTACCATTAACTCTCCTACCTTCTTGATATCTTCAAAAATAATTGCCTCCACTTCTTTGCCTCAACTAAAAGAATAAATGTTTCTTATGTGCTTCCCTTGTAGACCTTCTTGAATAAAGCTGCTTATTTTTCCATCCTCCTTAATTTCCAGACTTGACATGGGGTGGGACATGGACAGGGGCAGGAAAGGGGACAAAGAGAACATTATTTTAGTTCTCTGTTGAATATTATAGGCCACTACTTGATTTTCACACTTTGAAAAATTTGGACCTTTGAGCCTAATGACATTTACCCTTCTGTTATCTGCTAACTTCCTAGTCACTCCTCCACCTCAAGACTTTGGCATCTGTGGAAAACAAAGTCTAAACAACTTCAGCATTTATGGGATAATCTTTCTTTGACTTCTTCAACTATAATGTGTCAGTGTCCTTCATTTCCCCTCCAGTGTAATGATGAATCCCTTCATCACCCAAAATGCTCCCCCATGAAAATCATTAATGCCAGTATCACATTCTCTAAACAGAACTCCCTGTACTTCAAATCTTCTCATTCTTTCTCATTATTTTTACTTAGACAATATGGAGACGTTTCCCTGCATACAGCATAGTGGCTGTTATATAGAAGATGCACAAATGATAACTGAATGAGCAAGGAGTTAAAGTTTAGAATGCCTATCCTAGAGAATAGAAAAGGGTACTGAATATAATCACACAATGTTAGAGAAGGGTCAGGAGATATGGAGATCATGAATTGCCAGTCTGGAAAGCTGTGTAATTTCTAACTCAACCCAACATTCCAATCTCAGAAACTGAGGTATAAGAATAAAAAAGTATATGGTTGGGTTGACTCAGGATCAAAGGTTTAGAGAACAGCAGAGTGGAGTTATGATCATAATTCTGATGGTCAGAGAAGATTGACCATCAGATCATAATTCTGATGGTCAATTCTGATGGACATGTTGGAATAAGATAAGGAAGTGAAGTCAGTATTGTCACATGTATTATCCAGGGTCAATTAAGCTTTCTTTAATGGGCAAAAATATAAACTGTCCTCCTAAAACTTACCATATTTAAATGACAAAATATGCATTGAAACCTATAATCAAAGTCATAAATTTCTAGTACAGAAACTGATAGAAAAGACTTCCCAAGTATTGACAATATTTATGACATTACTTAATAGTAAAATAATTTACTTACCAGTTTAGAAGCTCTATTCACTTCCTTCCTGATATCTTCTATTAGAAAACCATAAACTCCTTCTTCTTCTTTGCCTCTCTGCCAAATTCCACTTGACATCAACTATGAATATATTCTCAATTAGAAAATAAACTCTAAGAAACTAGTTGGGCATTAAAAAAATATATATCCATACTATTCAGTCTAATAAAAAACAGACATAAAATGGCTCAAATTTCAAGTAGTTATCTATAGTAGTTATTTTTCATGGTCAAAGTAAGAGGCTACTTACATTGTTTGATTTAGATGGCACTGTATATTATCAGTTTGTATATCCTAATTAGTTTCTAAAAGTATTCCAGGAAGTAACAGAAAAAGAAAGAAAAAGAAAAGATAGGAAAGAAGGCAGTGAGTGGTTAGGTGGGTTAGAGGAAGAAAAAAAGAAAGAAAGAACACCTACAATTAAGCTTAACAAAAAGGAGTGGTGAATACAGATGGAGACAATTCAGATTAATTCAGTGACATTTCAGGCTAACTCTAAATCTAGCTGAATTCTGAATCATTAAGGCATTATTTACAAGAAAACCTATTGAACCCTAGTTAACATAAATGTTTGATTTTAGAAAGTTTCCTTAACCCCCAATGTGACAGTAATAAATGTTTGACTTTTTAAAAATTTGACTTAAGCTTCATTGTTTATACATGTTAAGAAAGCCTGAATCAGAGAAAGTGTAGAATGTGAATAAGAAATCCTGGCTTGCAAGCCAGGCTCTGCTGAAACTTCTGGAACCCTAGGCAAGTATTAATGTCTCAAACCTTAAACATGAAAATAAAAACACTGGATTAGACTATATCTAAGTCTCTTTCCGCTCTAGCATTCTATTGCCATTTGTAACATCACTATACTTTTCTGTTCATAATGAAATAGAATATTAAAAGGGTTAAGTCTGGGGTCAGTACTTTTTTTTTAAAGTATTATATTCATTGAATAAGACAGAACATAAGAGAAATTTTGATCTGATCAACTTAAATGTATTACATAATTTGAAAACACCATGTAGAGCAAATTTGTGATTAGAATTTTAACCAGTATATCGTAAAGAAAAACAAGTGATAACAAGTGATACACACTAAGAATTTGTTATGAAAACATAACCTGCAGACACATAAAATGGCTCTCCTAATTCTACTGCATAAAAAGTAAAATAATACTTTTTATTTTACTTTTTATAGAAAAAAATAAAATAATCCTTTTACTTTATAGAAAAGTAAAATAATCCTTTCCTGACTGAAAAAAAAGTAAAATAAACTTACAAAAATGGAAAGATTTTCTTTTTACTGCAAAACATAATCGTCTGTAACTTATAAACATATTTGGAATGACAACTTCATGTTCTCTTATAAATAAGCTCCCAGGCCAGTCTACTACTCTATTTAACCTTTGAGGTACGGAGGCACAAGACTGTAGTCTTAGAGGACCAAGGAATACTTCAGGTGGTTTCTCAAAGAAGCACTGAAATAATTTTAACATGGATGGTGGTAGATTTGAAAATATGTCCACAATTTGTTGATACTTCAAGAAGTGGGGCTTAATTCCTCTTGAGTGTGGGCTACTAGACTTAATGATTTGTTTCTAACAGAATAAAGCAAAAGTGACATTAGTGTGTGGCTGTGATGACTAGGTCATATGGTTCCATCTTGATTTCTCTCTCTCTGTCTCTCTCATCACTTGCTTTGGGAGAAGCCAGATGCCATGCCACGAGTAGCCTTATTTACTAAGAGGCCCAGGAGGTAAGGAGCTGAGGTTTCCTGACGCTAGCTAGGAGAAATTGAGGCCAAAAGCCACATGACAGAGCCATCAGAGGTGAATGGATCCTGCAACCTAGTAAAGTCTTCAGCTGTAATCTGACATCTCAATGATAATATCATGAGACTCTGAGCCTGAACTATCCAGCTCAGCCAAATTCCTGACCCTCAGATACTATGTGAGATGACAAACGTTTTATCTGCTAAATTTCAGAATAATTTTTTAAGCAGCAGATAACTATATAGTATCAAGAAACACTGTATGTACTAATGCAAGCCTGGCATGCTAAGGTGGTAATGTGCCACTAATATCTTAAGGCATGAATTCAGTGAGGTGAGAAATTGGTGGAGGGGAGGGGGAACAAAGGGAGACTAATTCTGAGTATGAAATCACTCGTTTGCTTTCTTCTGAGTGATACATAAAGTAACTGGTTTCCTTTTCCAAAAATATTTATCACCTTTAGCCAAGACGTTTCTTTTCAGGTTCTGTGTGAAATAAAATACTTTTATTCCACTCCCTGAACCCTCAAACAAATCTTTTCTCAGATTTATCACTAGCAACAAATGAAATAAGAAAGTGGTAAAAGAAATACCTCCTTTATAGACCTAATCATTTTTTCCTTTTTTCACTTAGGCCTTAAACAGAAAGAAAGAAAAACAAACAAACAAACAAACACGAAATAATGATAGGTCTTTGTATGTACTAAGTAACTTCAGAATCTTAGAATTCAATATCAAAAAACAAAATGTCTATTTTTAGAGATAGACAAAATGAGATCTGGAGAAGTTAAATGACTTATCCAATTCTCAGAAATCAGTGTCAGAATCTTACTATCTTCTTTAGAACACCAAATTTCTAGAATTTAATTATAAATTATACTCACCAAACAGTAGTAATGTACAGTGAGATTCCATTTCTCCTTAGTTTTCTTTTCTCCGTATTTATTAGGACAGTCATCATGTTTTCGACAGAAAACACAAGCTAACAGTGAAAAAGTAAATAGATATAAAAATATATTTAAATATTTCAAAAAAACCCTATGGAATTGGTGCTTCTCTAAATTTCTGTGTTAAATTCTTTCTGAGAGCAAATCATATAATATTGATATCAGTAACTTAAAATTTCCAATACCTACTTCTGAAACATTAATGTAACTTTATGTTCTTCACCAGTCTTTAATGATGAATTTCACTGTGTAGTTAAAATGGCAATTTATGAAGTAACGTCACTGAAAATGACACACTGGGGAACTACAAAACTCTGATTAAACTGCCAAAAACTGTTAGAATTAATTTTTAGAAGCTGTACAATCTAAATAAAAACTTACAAAAATTAGGAGAATGCTTAATGAAGAAACAAACTACTAATTTTGATGAGAACATCTTAACTTACCCACCTACCATTCCCCACTGCCCAGCTGGGCAGTGGTCTTGGGGTGGCCCGTGTTCCTGGTGCAGATTACTGGTCCAAGAGGGGGTAAAATGGACCTTGTTCTTTAAAAAATGTGATTGTTTTGACCTGTATGATGGCTCCCTGAGGGATGAGCTCAGATGCTTGCCTTTCTTTCACCTGCCTCAGAACTTTCTCAGGGCTGGAGCCTCTGCTGTTTGTCAAAAAACATTTGAAACAAATATACTAGCTGTAGCAGCCTAGGACAAGGGATAACAGATAGGGAAAGCAGCAGATAGACTGAAAGGCATAGGAAAGAAGAAACTGGGAAAAGAGGGTACATGAGGGAATAAAAATTTGGAAAACCTTCTGCATAATAACTGGAGAATCTAGAAGTCCACATGCATGCCCAGAGATGTACACATACTCAGAAATGACCCAAGAAATCCTAAGCTCTCACCTCTGGCTGATGTTTAGGCTCATGCAAGCCTATGTTAAAAAAGAAAATCCCAAATCAATAACCTACTTTTACAATTTAAAGAACTAGAAAAAAAGAAGAAACTAAACCCAAAGCTAGCAGAAGAAACAAAAAAATAAAGATTAGAGTAGATATAATCAAAATAGAGAATGGAAAAACAATAGAGGGAGTAAAAAAAAAAAGTTGGTTCTTTTTAAAGATCAACAAAACTGATAAACCTTTAACTAGACTAACCAAAAAAAAAAAGGGGGAGAAGATTAAAAACTTACAACAAAACTACAGTAAGCAAAACAGTGTGGTAGTGACATAAGGATAAACATATAGATCAATGAAAAAGAAGAGTCCAGAAATAAATATATACATCTATGGTCAAATGATTTTCAACAAGAGTGCCAAGACCATTCAATGGTGAAAGAATAGTCTCATCAACAAATACTGCTGGGACAATTAGCTCCTTACATGCAAAAGAACATAGGTGAACCCCTACCTCACACCATATATACAAATTAATTAAATACCAGCCAAGGATCTAACAATAAAATTCTTAGCAGAAAGAATAAGGGTAAATCTGTGTGACTTTGGATTTGGCAATGGCTTCTCAGAGTTCACATGATACTAAAAGCACAGGTAACAAAAGAAAAAAATGATAATTGGACTTCATTAAAATGTAAAACTTTTGTGACTCAAAGGACACTATTGTCTGGGTACAGTGGCTCATGCCTATAATCCTAGCACTTTGGGAGGCCCAGGCGGGCAGATCACAAGGTCAGGAGTTCGAGACCAGCCTGCCCAACATGGTGAAACCCCATCTCTACTAAAAAAAAATACAAAAATTAGCTGGGCATGGTGGTGTGTGCCTGTAATCCCAGCTACTCGGGAGGCTGAGGAAGAAGAATTGCTTGAACCTGGGAGGTGGAGGTTGCAGTGGTGAGCCAAGATTGTGTGACTGCACTCCAGCCTGGGCGACAGAGCAAGACTCCGTCTCAAAAAAAAAAAAAAAAAAAAGGACACTATCAAGAGAGTGAAAGACACTCTACACATCTAAAGGTCTAGTAGCCAGGATGCATTAAAAAAACTCTGATAACAACAAAATCACCAACAATCCAATTTAAAAATAGGCACTAGATTTGAATAGACATTTCTCCAAAGAAGATATACAAAGAGCCATTAAACACATTAAAAGATGCTTAATATCACTGGTCAGCAGTCAACAGAGAAATGTAAATAATAACAACAGTGAGATACCACTTCACACTCACAAGGATAGCTGTAATCAAAATGTCTGACAATAACAAGTATTGACAAAGGACTGGAAAAAATCAAAACCATCACACACTGCTGGTAGAAATATAAAATGATGTAGAGCTTTGGGAAATAGTCCAGCAGTTCTTCAAAATTTAAACAAAGAGTTACCATATGACACAGTAATTCTATTCCTGGATATACATACCAAAGAACTGAAAACAGATGTTCACACAAATACTTGTAAACTAATGTTCACAGCAGCACTGTTCACAATAGCTAAGCAGAAACAAGCCAAATGTCCATCAAAGGATGGATAAGTGGATAAACAAAATATGGTATGCCCATATGATGGAATATTATTCAGCAATAAAAAGGATGAAAGTAGTAATACATGCTACAGCATGAATAAACCTAGAAATATTATGTTAAGTGAAAGAAGTCAAACACACACAAAGGGTCACAATATTACTCAATTTACTTATGGATTACTTTATCCAACATAAGTAAATCCACAGGGACACACAAAAAGCAGATTAGTGGTTACCAGGGGCTGGGGACACGGAAAATGAGGGGTGACTACTTAATAGGTACAGAGTTTCCTTTGAGGGCGATTAAAATGTTTTAGAACTAGATAGTGGTGATGGTTTCACAACATTGTAAATGTACTAAATGCCACCAAACTGTATATCTCAAAATAGTTAAAGTATGAATTTTATGCCTATTTTATCCACCCCTCCCAACACACACAAAAATACAACTTGAAGAGTCAGAGAGACCTGAGTTAAGACTCAACTAATCCTTTTTTAGAAAACTGTATATACTTACAATGTTTAGCACGATGTTTTGATATATGTACATATTGTGGAACAGCTAAATGGAGCTAATTATCATATGCATTACTTCACATATTTACCACTTGTGGTGAGAATACTTAAAATTTACTAATTTTCAAGTACACAATACATTGTTATCAACTATAGTCACCATGTTGTACAACAGATCTCTTGAACTTATTCCACCAGTCTATTATAAAATTTTGTATCCCTTCACCAACATCTCCCAATCCTCCCAACCGCTGGTAACCAGCACTATACCGTTTCTATGAGTTTGACTTTTTTATATTCCACACATAAGGGAGATTATGCAGTATTGTCTTTCCATGACTAGCTTACTTCACTAGTGCTTTATGACTCCATTTCCTCATCATAAAAATGAGGATAATAGTACCTACCTCAAACTATGCCTTAGTGAGGACTAAGACAGTGTATATTAAAATAATTAACAGGATATGACATATACATAGAACCAAATGTTAGTATAATAACTAATCTTTTCTGTTACATGTTTATTTATACAGAAAATTTTATTAAGATGCTAATGAAACAAGTTGAAAATCACTAGCTGAAAAGACAGGATCCCTAAGAAGTAGATCCCTACAAGATGAAGGGTGCTTGCATCTCTAAATGATTGCATACCGCAGAAACTCCCTAACTGCTCCATCTTCCTTAAACCATGCACACTGGACTGTAACCTGACCAAGCAATAAACTTCTCTTGTTTTAAACCAGTAAGATGTCAGGGTTTACCAGTTATGGAAACTAGTATTATTTACCTTGAATAATACATGCAATCAAGAATAGATGTCACATGTTAAAAGGTATTATATTTGTTAATAGGCTGCTCACCAAATAGATTCTAGAACTGAAAAGAAATAAGATGAGCTCGTATTTAATATAGTGAAATAGCCTAACTACTCTGCCCTCCCTCACTCTGGTTTAAAGGGATAAGTCATAACTCGAAGTATCTCTCCTAACCCTTTAAAAGATTTCAGCTCCTCTTCCTTCCCTTCCATACAAGGGAACTGTTCACATTAACTCCAGCAAATTGCCATTTGTTCATATTGGACATTCTACACCAGTAAGCTCCACCTTAACTCCATCCCCAATACCTACACTTTTACCCGCAAGTGTGCATAAAGCTCAAGAGAAAGAGAATTATGTAGAATTAGCTGAGTCTACAAAAGAGGAGTCCTTGTGAACTGGCTGAAACTATAGAAGAGGGGAAACTCTTGCCATGAACCCTGGATGGAGGTACATCTGCTGTATGCTGTGGACCTGTGGTTTTCCATTTGTTCCTCTCTCCCCTTGTCTCCCTCTACCCAGTATGGAGGGCCTTGAATGCAGAACAGACTAGGTTTCAGGCATGCATTTTTATAAGTAGATTATTTTTATATTCATTTGTACCTTCCTGCTTTTAATGTTTAAAATTTGGTAAAATTGTCCTGATTTCATTATATTTATTATTAAGATTGGTGTCTAGTGTAGTAAATGATACTGGTTTCTATTACAATAATGAAGTAAAGTTTCTACCTTAAATACATTCATGTAAATAAAGAAACAGTCCATCTTAGGAAAAAGTATCAATAGTAGATGTGTATTTGCATTTGGCAAATGCATAGAGGTAGTCCATGAAGTACTAAAAGTTTCAGAACTATTAGCATAGCTGACAGAAGGCTGGAGGTAGAAGCAGGGAAAGAAAGTAGAAGAGGTTTAGGAGCATAAATTTCCTTATCCAACATAATGTGGTGTCAAAAGATACTTTAAAAGTAATGATCAAGATATAGAGTTGTAAGAATAATATTTTAATTTTAGAGTGAATTTAAAAGGATCTAAAATACAGTGGATGAGGTAGAAGTGGCAGAAGAGTGTAATCATTTAAATTCCTCATATTTCATTGTAGCAAGACAACAGATACTGTTTATAATAAATGAAGAAAACAACAATTAAAAGCAAAGGTCAAAACGGACCGCATCTATTTGGGAAGATTGTTGTGAGCACGTAGAGGTAAGTTTTCCTTTTATTTTCTTTAACTTTTCTTCTTTTTTTTGATACAGGGTCTCGCTCTGTCACTTAGGCTGAAGTGTAGTGGTGCGATCTCTGCTCACTGCAACTTCTGCCTCCCGGGTTCAAGCGATTCTCCTGCCTCGGCCTAGCGAGTAGCTGGGATTACAGGCATGCGCCTCCTGGCTAATTTTTGTATTTTTAGCAGAGATGAGGTTTTGTCATGTTGGCCAGGCTGGTCTTGAACTCTTGACCTCAAGTGATTTGCCTGCTTCAGCCTCGTAAAGTGCTGGAATTGCAGGCGTGAGCCACTGCACCTGGCCAGTTTTCCTTTTCCTGTTAAACTTTTACACACTGTTTAAATTGTTCTCATCTGCATTTTTTCCTTTAAATAACTGTTTTATTGAGATACGAACCATATCTTATATACATAAAACAAATATAAAATTTGGCAAATAAATTGCCTTCTGATAGGTTTTTGTTGAAATAAATATATGCAATATTATACTTTAGTATGTGGACATACAAACTAAGCTTGTGCCAGGGAATTCATTCCTCTTCAGTCCTAATGTTTAAGTAACATATTTAAAACACTCATTGTAATAAAATTATTTTAAATACAGTTACTTACCAAGGTTCTGTGAGTCACCAGGTTTACTTTCATTCATTTTACTAGGAAAAATAACATTAATACAGTCATCTTAATTGTAAAAGTCTCAAATTAACAACTTTTATTACTTGCAGTCAATGCATAATGACAAATAAGTCATCTAATACTCTAGTATTTAAATTTTTCTTACCTTTAATACATCTAAGATCAGTAGTTCTCAACTGGGGTGTTAAGAGTCGGGAACATTTTTTAAATTGAAGGGAATGTTTTTTAGCTGTCAAAACAATTAAGATGACCACTGGTATTTAGTGGAAAGAGGCCAGGATTATAGGACATCTTGCAATGCTCCAAACAGTCCTACACAACAAACGATAGTCTAGACTTTCAAATTTCCATCTGGACATTCAAGTAGGTTAAAAAAATCTACTTGTAATTAACCTAGAACCTAAGCCCATTTTACATATTAACAAATTATATTTGCAGAACTACAACTCCTATGTCAATCAAGGAAATTTCTATTTAATTTTTCTTCAAAGCTTTACCCAGAATTGTTCATCATTTAGGAAAAAAGAAAAATCACATCATCAATAGCCATGCCATTCGTATTTGTGCAGCCTATAAAACAATCCTTTGGCTGGGCTTGGTGGCTCACACCTGTAATCCCAGCACTTTGGGAGGCTGAGGCAGGTGGATCACCTGAGGTCAGGAGTTCGAGACCAGCCTGGCTAACATGGTGAAACCCTGTTTCTACCAAAAATACAAAGTTAGCAGGGCGTGGTGGTGCATGCCTGTAATCCCAGCTACTCGGGAGGCTGAGGCAAGAGAATTGCTTGAACTCGGGAGGTGGAGGTTGCAGTGAGCCAAGATCACACCATTGCACTCTAGCTTGGGCAACAACAGCGAAACTCCATCTCAAAAACAACAACAAAAAAAAACAAAAACAATCCTTTATTAGTCTATACCGTATTTGTGGCTGTTGCATTTGCCAGGATTCTATACAGGGCTGCAGGCACCTGACTGTCTTGTTACCTCTTCTAGTACGGTAGTGCTCAACCATTTACATACTGAAAGACATTGGTCTGTCCCTATCTCCTCACTCTCCACTAGTTAAACAAATAAAAATACTTATAATCATTACTGAAATATAACTTTTCTCTAAAAGATCAAAGAAAAGAAGACCAACATCTTAATAACATTAAAGTTTCACTTCACCAAGGGTATATGAACAGCCTACTAGAAATGTTAATGAGATTTAAGTACAATGTATGTGCAATCTCTTGGTATTTAAGTGGAAAAGAATAAAACATAATAATGCCACTAGGTAAATATAATCTCATTTATAGTTGCAAAAACCAGTTCTCAGAAAGGTTAAACACCTGTCCAAGGTCAAGGAGTTAGTTAGTGGGAATACACTAACCCATAACTGAGTGACTGCAGGTTACACCATGGTACTTCATGTGAAAATAATGAAAGAGAACAAAAAATAATACAGAATATTATATATCAAAGAGTGAAAACCACAAATACAAACTGCTATCAGATTTCATCAAATCTAAGACACCACAAAATGTAGGACACAGATTATTTTATGAAGACTGATTAACCAAATTAAACTTATACAATGCTTCCTTACAATTAGAATTTATATTTCATACTGACTGTAAAAAGTGTTTTGGATTTAAACATAGTTTTGCTCATATATATTTCTGTGCTTTCCTAAAAAGTCATAGTTCAAATCTCTTAAATGGCTTTGACTCTAAGCTTTCAATATTTTGTTTATTCCTTACAAAATAATATTCTATGCCATTAAGATTGGTATTCTTAAAAGAATGTATAAAACAACTAAGAGCCCAGTTTTAAGGGGGCTTTAGAGTTAAGTAGGTCTAGAGTACTATTTTTCCTAGCTCCTCTCCACAACTATTAATGTAGGGTTAAAGGAGCACTCCTTTATTGTCTCTTGGATTTTTTTCTTTCTTTTCTTCCTTTTAGAGGCACTAGTAATTCTCTACAGGTATACGATGGCGCTTTTGATGTTTATACATTCTCAAACAATAACTACAGAACTGCCTTAAGTGAACAAATTGATTGAGGATCACAATCTATAGAACATCATTTTAAACATGCTGATACATCTAAGACCAGTTCTCAATAAAACTCAGAAACAGATCCATATTTTTCCAGTCATTTTCAACAAAGACACCAAAGCAATTCAACGAGGGAAAATAAAATCTTTTAAACAAATGGTACAAGAAAAACTGAATATCCATATGGAAAGAAGCGTGTGTGTAGAAGGGTTGAGTCCATCTTAAAATTGATAAAATATAATAGGAAGATAAAATGCCTCCTCTTAAAGGACTTCTCTACAGTTCAACCTCTGGTGATGAATTCAACATATCATAAATCCATCCATACACATGAATTTATTGCAGAAAATTCCATAAACACATGATAAATAGTACTTCACTTAAACATAAAAAGTTTAATTTATAAAGGATGTTTTAGTCATTCGACAATACAGATTTACACTGTCATCCAACCTAGACACCACAAAATGTAGTGCATTTAAATTTTACCTAAATGCTATCCTTCTCCAAAATCCTGTATAAAATCTACTGTAACTCCATTTGGTAAGAAGCCCTGTGGTCCCTCTTGTTTGCACTCTCTCTCACTGGCGTGGGTCAATAAACTTAATTTTATCAGACTACTGGTTTATCCCTGGTGGTGTTAGGCTGACTGGGCTAGGATGAGACAAAGAATAACACAAATGGCACAAAATGAACATTTAGTGAATCTAGATAAAGGATATATAGGAGTTCCTTATGCCATTCTTACAACTTTTCTCTAAGCTTGAAATTATAGCAGTATCAAATTACCTAAAAGTTGATTATTCTAAAGGCATTCCATAATTCATACTTTTGATCAGTTCACATTAGCCTTCCTAATCCCTAGCATGTGGAGTATAACTTTTGTTTCTAAATCCTGAATGAGGATCACTTTATTTCAAACAAGTCTCCAAAACAAAACCTTAGTAAAAAAAATAAGTACTATTCACATATTTCAGTTGAATTTCATAATTTCTTTTAGATGTTTTCCTTCAAGAATATGAATTTTAAGACTTCCCAAGCAGAATTAAAAAAAAATAATATCTAAGTGTATAGTTCAATAACAGTCCAAGTCTTAATAACAGACTGGACTTTAGAAACAAAATAAAACCATTCCCTTCCCTGGAAAATAAACAATTTAATTAATACCTTCTGTCAAAAGGTATTCTGAGTGTCCTCCACTGCTTACCTCTACTTGATCAGTCAGTGATACACTTTCATACTTCTTCCTTCAAAAGGTAAAGCCTGCCCCTCTCCTTGATTGTAGATGTGCTTAGTGCTTGCTAACTTGCTTCAACAAAAAAGACTGTGGCAGAAATGACAATGTCATAAAAGGCATTGTGACTTCCTCCTCACTATCATGGATCACATGCTATGGAGGAAGCCAGCTGCCATGTCATAAAAATTTTCAACATACACCATGGAGACACCCAGTTGGTAAGGAATGGAGGCCATTCTACCTTCTGTTATGTGAATAAGCCATGTTAGAAGTGAATCCTCCAGCCCCAATCAAGCCTTCATACGACTGCAATTTGGCTAACAGCCTGAGAGCAACTTCATACAAGACCCTAAGCCAGAACCACACAGCTAAGCAGCTCCCAAATCCCTGATCAACAGAAACTATCAGTAATTAAATGTTTATTGTTTAAAACCAGCAAGTTCTGGAGTTATCTGTTACACGACAACAGATAACTAACACAAAAAAAGTAAGTCAAATTCCTTCTCATTCCAGCTGATGGCTAACATTTGAATAAATAAACAGATCCTAACCACCCAACATTTTTTCTTTTTCTTTTTTTTTTTTTTTTTTTTGAGACAGAGTCTTGCTCTGTTGCTAGGCTGGATTGCAGTGACGCAATCTCGGCTCACTGCAACCTCCGCCTCCTGGGTTCAAGTGATTCTCCTGCCTCAGCCTCCCGAGTAGCTGGGACTACAGGCATACGCCACCACGCCTAGCTAATTTTTGTATTTTTAGTACAGACGGGGTTTCACCATGTTGGCCAGGATGGTCTTAATCTCTTGACCTCATGATCCGCCTGCCTCTGCCTCCCAAAGTGCTGGGATTACAGGTGTGAGCCATCGTGCCTGGCCCCATCCAACATTTTCTAAAGTGCCTAATCTTACTGAAAAAGGTGACATTGAATATACAGAAAACATGCTGGAATCAGGCACTTGAAAGAGAAATTGATTGATTTTTTTAATCTAGCATTTTTAAGAAATGAACATTCTTGCTATAGAAATGACTTGATTTAAATCACTAATCAGAAAGGTTCAACTTAGTCTATGCATTGCATTATTCGATGTACTCTAAATTCCTTTTACAACTCAGAAATGTTGTCTATGGATGTCCCATACATAATAAAGAATTAATTTCTCTGATTCAGCACTGCATAATAAAACATGATGTTTGTCAGATGCATAGTTTGCAAATATTTTCTCCTATTCTGTAGGTTGTCTGTTTACTCTGTTGGTAGTTTCTTTTGCTGTGCAGAAACCCTTAAGTTTAACTAGATCCCACTTGTCAATTTTTGCTTTTGTTGCGATTGGTTTTGGAGTCCTTGTCATGAAATCTTTGCCCATTCTTATGTCCAGGATGATAATGCCTAGGTTGTCTTCCAGGGTTTTTATAGTTTTGGGTTTTACATCTAAGTCTTTAATCCATCTTGAGGTGGTTTTTGTGTATGGTGTTAGGAAGGGGTCCAGCTTCAATCTTCTGCATATGGCTAGCCAGATATCCCAGCACCATTTAATAAACAGAGAGTCTTTTCCCTATTGCTTGTTTTTTGTCATCTTTGTCAAAGATCAGATGGTTGTAGATGTGTGGCCTCATTTCTGGGCTCTGTATTCTGTTCCACTGGTCTATGTGCCTGTTTTTGTACCAGTACTATGCTGTTTTGGTTACTGGAGCCTTGTAGTATAGTTTGAAGATGGGTAATGTGATGCCTCCAGCTTTGTTCTTTTTGCTTAGGATTGCCTTGGCTATTTGTGCTCTTTTTTCGTTCCACATGAATTTTAAAATAGCTTTTTCTAGTTTTGTGAAGAATGTTGTTGGTAGTTTGACAGGAATAGCAGTGAATCTGTAAATTGTTTTGGGCACAATAGCCATTTTAATGATATTGATTCTTCCTATACATGAGCATGGGATGTTTTTCCATTTGTTTGTATTTTCTCTGATTTCTTTGAGCAGTGCTTTGTAATTCTCATTGTAGAGATCTTTCACCTCCCTTGTTAGCTGTATTCCTAGGTATTTCATTCTTTTTGTAGCCACTGTGAATGGGATTGCCTTTCTGATTTGGCTCTAGGTTTGGCTGTTTTTGGTGTATAGGAATGCTAGTGAATTTTGTATGTTGATTTTGCATCCTGCAACTTTGCTGAAGTTGTTTATCAGCTGGAGAAGCTTTTGGGCCAAGACTAAGGGGTTTTCTAGATACAGAATCATGTAATCTGCAAAGAGATAGTTTGACTTCCTCTCTTCCTATTTGGATGCCCTTTATTTCCTTCTCTTGCCTGACTGCTCTGGCTAGGACTCCCAAAACTATGTTGAAGTGGTGAGAGAGTATCCTCGTCTTGTGTCGGTTCTCAAGAGGAATGCTTCTAGCTTTTGCCCATTCAGTATAATGTTGGCTGTGGGTTTGTCATAGATGGCTCTTATTATTTTGAGGTATGTTCCCTCAATATGTAGTTTATTGAGAGTTTTTAACATGAAGGGCTGCTGAATTTTATCAAAAGCATTTATAAGGAACTTTAATTTACAAGAAAAAAACAACCCCATTAAAAAGTGGCCAAAGGACATAAGCAGATACTTCTCAAAAGAAGACATATACGCGACCAACAGGCATATGAAAAAAAGCTCAACATCACTAATCATTAGAGAAATGCAAATCAAAACTACAATGAGATACCATCTCACACCAGTCAGAATGGCTATTATCACAAAGTCAAAAAATAACAGATGCGGGTAAGGTTGTGGAGAAAAGGAAACACTTATACCCTGTTGGTGGTAGTGTAAATTAGTCCAACCACTGTGGAAAGCAGTATGGCAATCCACAAAGAGCAAAAAGCAGAACTACCATTTTACCCAGCAATCTCATTACTGGGTATATAGCCAGAGGACTATAAATCATTCTACCATAAAGACACATGCACACAAATGTTCACTGCAGCACTATTCACAATAGCAAAGACGTGGAATCAGCCTAAATGCCCATCAGTGACAGACTGGATAAAGAAAATAGGGTACAAATACACGATAAAATATTGTGCAGCCATAAAAAAGAGTAAGATCATGTCTTTTGCAGGAACATGGATGGAGCCGGAGGCTATTATCCTTAGCACAGTAATACAGGAACAAAAAACCAAATACCGCATGTTCTCACTTGTAAGTGGGAGCTAAATGATAAGAACTCATGAACACAAAGAAGGAAACAAGAGACACTGGGGTCTACCTGACGCAGGAGGGTGGGAGGAGGGAGAGGAGCAGAAAAGATAACTATTGGCTATTGGGCTTAATACCTGGGTGATGAAATAATATGTGCAACAAACCCCCATGACATGTTGTTTACCTATGTAACAAACCTTCACATGTACCCCCAAACCTAAAAAAAAAAAAAAGTTAAAAAAAAAAGATGAACTGTATTTTATTTACTACAAATGCATGAAGGATCCTGGACTGTATCCTGCACTGGGGAATAAAACTGCTCCAAAGGACATCACCGAGGCAATTGACCAAAACAATATTTAGTTGAAAGTATTGTATTTATGCTAAGTTTCCTGAAATTGGTATCCATATTTAGGTTATTTAGTAGACTATCACTGTTCTTAGGAAATACTGAAGCATTAAGGGGTAGGGGGACCAGATATATGCAACCTACTCTCCAACGGTTCAGAAAAGGGAAGTTACATGCAAATGTACAATACTGCAGGATGATAAAGTGAATGTGGAAAATAATAAAGAGTGGTTAATCTAGGTAAGGGCATATGTAGTTCTTTGTACTTTTCTTGCAACTTTCCTGTAACTTTAGAATAATTTCAAAATAAAAAAAGGTTTAAAAATAATTGAATTAAAAGTAATATAAAACATTCCCAAAAAATTCAAGATCAAGATTAATACAGTGTGATGGTTAATTTTATGTGTTACCTTTACCAGGCCACAGGACGCCCAGATATCTGGTTAAACTTATGTTTGGATGTGTCTGTGAGAGTGTTTCTGGAAAAGATTGGTAAACTTTACTCAGTTTACTGGTGAACTGAGCAAAGCAGATGGCCATCCCCAGCGTGGGTAGACATTAGCTAGTCCACTGAGGGCCTGAATAAAACCAGAAGGCAGAAAAAGGTTAAATTTGCTGTCTGACTGCTTGAGGTAGGACATCAATCTTCTGTCCTTGGTGTTCCTGGTTCTCAGGCCTTCAGATCCGGACTGGAACCTATACCATCAGCTGTTTGGCTCCAGACATTCAAACTACACTGCGGGACTTTCCTGGGTCTCCAGTTTGCAAACAGATAATGGGACTGTTCACACTACATAATCATGTGAGTCAATACCTTATAATAAATTAATCAATCCTTCCCTCTCCTTCTCTACACACACAGAGACACACACACACGCACACACACACACACACACACATATCCTGTTGTTTCTGTTTCTCTGGAGAACTGTGACTAATACACCCATGTTACCTCGGGATAGATAGTTAATACACTTTATGTGCTCCTACAAATTTGGAGACAAAAAGAAATACTCTTAAAGATTTGTTAGTTACTTTGGTTCACAGCAACAGCTAAGATAAAATTAGAAGAAAGACATTCAATGGTAGAGGTCAAAAGCTATTAGAATTTTTTTTTCATGAATCAATTATTTACATTCTAGGAAATAATAAACATATCTTAAAAATGTACATAAAAGCCAGGCACAGTGTTATGCACCTGTAGTCCCAGCTACTTGAAAGGCTGAAGCAGGAGGATTGCTTGAGCCCAGGAATTTGAGTCCACCTTGAGCAACATAGTGAGACCTCCATCCAAAAAAAAAGTACATAAAACATCAATATGATCTTCAATGTTTTTTAACCATAAATTATTACAAAAAGTAGCATGGTATAGTAGAAAGAGTACTAGGGGCATTGAAGGTATGAAGTTTAGACTTTCCTTCATGTTCTATATGTTTTTTCCTGAGACCTCAGCCTCAATTTTATCATCCCTCAAACTAGAAGCTAATTACAGGTTATTGTAAGAATTAGAAACAACACATAAACGCCACAAGAGTACCTGGCAAATTTAGTCAATCATTGGTAGTTTTTCTTTTAATTAAAAAAAAAAGGATAATATATCTTAACTGGATTTATCTTAGAAATATAAGATTAGATATCATCTGAAAAGTAAAGTAATACACCATGTTAATACAATAAGGGGTGAAAAAAGTATGACCATCTCAATAGATGCAGAAAGAGCATTTGACAAAATTCAACAACCAATCATGATAAAACTGTAGGACAAACCAGAAACAGACGGGAATTTTCTCAACCTAATAAAGGGCATCTACAAATGTGCATTAATTTCCACACTGTACTGTGACACAATGTCAACAGATACAAAAGGGCATCTGACAAATGTCAATATCCAATCATAACAAAACTGTAAAGCAAACTGTGGGTAAAATAAATTTTTTCAACCTAGCGAAGGGAATCTACAAACGTTCACCTTAGTCTCTGATTCAACAGTGTACTCCAAGGGAAAAGAAGACAAAACTGTGAAGGATGAAGTAAAACTGTTTTCACATATGATCATCTACATAGAAAATCCTACCAACATATTTATAAGAATAAGTGACTTTAACAAGTTGTAATGAAACAAGGCAAATCTGTATAACAGCAAGAATTAATCAGAAAATTAGAGAACAATTCTATTCACAATAGGTAAAAACTTAGTAAAAGATGTGGAAAAAGACTACACTCTGAAAAGCTACAAAACACTGCTGAGAGAAATGAAAGACCTAAATAAATGAAGAGATAGACAATGCTCATGGGCGTAATATTGTTAAGATGTCAATTTAACACAATCCCAACCAAAATCCCCAGCAGGTTTTTTTTTTTTTTAAGATACTGGCATGCTGATTCTAAAACCTATATAAAAATGCAAAAGTCTTGTAATAGCAAAAACATTTTTAAAAAGAAAAAGTGGTCTCCAACTATGTGATTTCATGACTTCTTATAGAGCTATGTTAATCAAGACAGATGTGTAGCTCAATAGATCATAAGGGAAAAGTCAGATATATAGCTCAATAGAACACAAGGGAAAGGCCAGAAACAGACCCAGACAATTGCTTTTCAACAAAGATACCAAGGTAATTCACTGTATTCAAATGGTAGTCTATTCAATAAATAGTATTGAAATAACTGAATGCTTTGGGCGGAGGGTGGGGGGAAGAACATTGACCTCATATATTAAAACTTAATTCAAATTGGATCACAAGAAAAAAAACTTCTAGAAGAAAACATAGTGAAGAATCTTCATGATCTTGGGGTTTGGCAAAGATTTCTTAGGAAACTGAATCATAAAAAACACTGATGAATTAAACATCAAAATTAAGAACTTTCTAATCAAAAAAACATAGTTAAGCAAAGAAAAAGGCAAAACACAGATTGGGAATAAACACTGGCAAAACATATACCTGACAAAGGATTTATATCCACAATGCATAAAGAATGCTTACAACTCAAATAGACATCACAATAAAATGAACAAAATGGACAAAAGATTTGACCAGACATTTAAAAAAAACACAACATAGCCAACAAGCAAAAGAAAATATGAACATCACTGGTCATAAAGGAAATGCACATTAAAATAGCAAAAAAAAAAAAGCAAACCCACTACAGCACCCACAAGAATACTTGTCTCACAAAAAATGAACTCAAAATGAATTACAGCTCTAAATACAAAATGTAAAACTATAAAATTTCTAGAAAAAACACAGAGGAGAAAATTTCTGTGACCTTATGTTACGTAAGATTTCTTAGATACAATACTGACAGCACAAGACAAAAAAAGATAAACTGTACTTAAAGTTAGTATCTTCTGCTCATCAAAAGACACTGTTAAGAGAATAAGACAAGCCTCAGACTGAGAAAGTATTTGCAAATCATAATCTGATAAAGGACTTAGTTAGATCCACAATATATTTTCTGAAAAAACTCTTCAAACTTAGTAATACAGAACACATCCACGAAAATGGTGGAGCAAGGGGCTCTGCAGGCCTGTACCTCCCTAGAAACACAGAAAAACCTGGCAAAAAACTCACAATCAACAATGTCTCAACAAATAGAGAATATCAATAAAGAAGTAGAAATGATAAAAAGGAAATAGAAATTCTGCAGCTGAAAAGTACAATAACTGAAATAATAAATTCATTACAGAGGTTTAACAGCACGTTTGAGCAGGCAGGAGAAAGAATCAGCGAACTTGAAGACAGGTTAGTTGAAATTATCCAGTCTGAAGAGCAGAAAGAAAAAAAATGAAAAATAAACAGAGCCCAAGAGACTATGAGACACCATCAAGTATACCAATATATGCTTAATAGGAGTCCAAGAGGGACCGGAGAAAGTGGAACAGAAAGAATGTTTGAAGAAATAATAGCCAAAAACTTCCCAAATTTCATGGAAGACTGAAATCTATACAGGTAAGACTTCAATCTACACATTTTTAAGAAGCTCAAGATCTTTAATCAGGACAAATTCTAGGAGATCCACATTGAGACACAGTATAGTCAAACTGACAAAAACAAAGACAAAGAATCTTGAAAGCAGCAAGAGAGAAGTGATTAACACATACAAAATATCCCCAATAAGATTAAGAGCCAAATTCTCATTTGAAACCATAGAGTTCCAGAAGGCAGTGAGATGACATATTTAAAGTGCTGAAAGACAGGAAAAAAACCCAAACCTGTAAGCAAAGAATCCTATCTGCAGCAAAACTATGTTTCAAAAGTGAAGATGAGTACACATACTCACATGGGAGGCAGGCAAGTAAACAAATATTTCACACACATGCAGTGTAGCCTTACAGAGGTGGTGATATTATAACGTAATTGTGAAAAATAAATATTCTGAGCAGACAAGGCAGAAAAAGCATTCTAAGTAGAGTGTGTGCAAAGGTACAACAGTGTGTGAAAGCCTGGGATGTTTGGGGAATGTCAGGAATTTCTTCTGGAAGTTGCTCTTGCTGATTCTGCCATTTGGTTGGATTATATAAATCTCCTTGGATTGGATTATCAGATAGTAAGTAATATAATCCCCCCCCTTCACCAGCTGGTCCTAACCCTGACTTCGTGGGCAGGTCTTATTCCAGTCCTAGCCCCTTCCACTGACCAAGTCAGGCTCTAAATAACCAGCCCAATCCAAAGTACCCTTCTTAAAGCAGGTGGCATCTTTTTTACTACAGTTCAGGCAATAAAGGCTATTCTGTCACAACTCCCACAGAACCAGGTCTTCTCCTGTCTAAAAAATAAGGCCTTAATTATATTTTAACAGGACAATGTATCTGCTACCTTATGTGACAGAGCAATTAAACTTTTAAGATTCCAGGCAGGACCCAGGCAGAGGAACATGGCAGAAAGAACATTACACTTGAATTATACATTTTCTGTGTTTGAACTCCTTGCTCTGCCTTGTGTCCAATGGAGATGATAATACCTACCTATTAGGGTTCTTATATGCAAAGCAGGAGAAGTAATTCGATGGAGAGAAGGAAGGGTGAAAGGAATTCAGAAAGATCAGAAGTTTCTGAGATCAAGAAAGACCATAAAGTTTTTAGGTCCCTAACTGTTAATGGTGGTTATCCCTGGGGAGAGAGAAGGGGTAGGGGCTTTTTCTTTTAATTTCTTATAAATTTTGGCATTGTTTGACTTTTTACAATGAACATAATTATGTACTTAAAATATATTTGGCATATATATTATACCTCAATAAAAAGTTTCTTAAAAGCTTATATTCTCTGGAAAATCATCCAGGAGACAGACAAGAATGGCTGTTTCTCAGAAGGTCTGGTAGACCTGGGGTCTAGGGTGAAAGGGAAACTTTTAGTAGATCTGTCCTACTAGAGATGCTAATGGGACACCAGACAGTAAGTCAAAGCCATACGAGGAAATAAAAACACCAGTAAAGGTAATTACAGAAGTAAATATAAAAGCCAGTAGTATTATTGCACTTTTGGTAATTCTCTTTTTCCTTTATGATTTAAAAGAAAAACACGTAAAATAAATATAAATCAATGTTATTGGGCACATTATGTATAAATGTAAAATAAGCAAAAAATATAAAATGTAATTTGACACAATAACATTTAGGAAGAAGGATGAGATATACAGAAGTGTAATTTTTGTATACTATGAAAGCTGAGTGGGTATTAATTCAAACTAGGTTGTTATAAGTTTAAGATATTAATTGTAATCCCCAAGATAGCCACTAAGAATATAACTAAAAAATATGTGCAGAAAAGGTAATGAGAAGGGAATCAAAATGGTACACTATACAAATCAATTAAACAAAAGGCAATAAGGAAGGAAATGAGGAACAGAAAGATAGTATTTAGAAAACAAATACTAAAATGTCAGAAATCCTTCCTTAACAGTAATTAAATGTAAATGAATTACACGCTCCAATTAAAAGGCAAAGGTTGACAGAATGAATTTTTTTAAAATCCATACATACACTATCTACTAGGGTCAAGCTATAGATATCAAAACACAAATAGATGGAAAGTAAAATGACAGAATAAGATACTTCATACAAACAGTAATCAAAAGTAAGCTTGGGTGTTTATACTAATGTCAGACAAAACAGGCTTTAAGTTGAAGATTGTTACAGGACTCAAAGGACATTAAAGACTGACTAAAAAGTTCAATCCATCAAGAAGACATGACAATTATAAACACAAACCCACCTAATAAGAGCCCCAAAATATACAAGGCAAAATTTGACAGAAATGAAAGGAGAAATAGTTTAGACTTAACATATACAGAACACTCCACCCTACAACAGAATGAAACATTCTTCTCAAATGCACGTGGAACAATATCCATGGATATACCATGTTAGACCACAAAATAATACATTTTACAAGACTGAAATCACACAAAATATCCTCTCCAATGACTATGGAATGAAACTAGAAATCAATAAAAGGAAAACTGGAAAACTGAGAAACATATGGAGATTAAATAACAACTTTAAATAGACAAAAAGTCAAAAAAGAAATCACAAGGGAAATTAGAAAATACTTAGAGACAAATAAAATCAAGCCCCCAAAACAATGACCCAACTATATGCCCAAAGAAACTAGAAAAAGACCAAACTAAACCCAAAGCTAGCAGAAGGAAGGAAATAATTTAGAGTCCAGATAATGTAATAAAAAAATTTTTAAATTGAGAATCAATAAAATAAAAATTGCTTGAGAAGATCGACAAAATTGAAAACGTTTAGTTAGATGACCCAGAGAAAAAAAAGAGAAGACTCAAATTACTAAATCAGAAGAAATGAAAGTGGGACACTGCTACAGACCTAATACAAATAAAAAGAATTAAATGAGACTATTATGAACAATTGTACTCTAAGAAGTTAAAAGTTAACAAATTAAACAATAGGTTAAACAAATAACAAAAGTGACAAGAAGAAATAGAAAATTTCAACAAATCTACAAACAAGAGATTGAATCACTAATGAAGAACCTCCCAACGAATAAAGTCCTAGCCCAGATGGGTTCACTGGTGAACCCTATTAAACCTTTGAAGAAAAATTGGCACCAATCTTTCTCAAACCCCTCCAAAAGATATTATGACACTTCCTAACTCATTTTATGAAGCCACCAATACCCCGATACCAAAGCCAGAAAAAGACATCACAGAAAATAAAACTACAAGCCAATTATCTCTTATGAACATAGATGCAAATATCCTTAACAAACTACCAGCAAACTGATTCTGATAAAGAAAATTTTGTACCATAACCAAGTGGGATTTATCCCAGAAATGCAAAGGTGGTTCAGCATATGGAAATCAACCAATATAATATACCATACTAATAGAGAAAAAGGAAAAGGTCACATGCTCATCTCAATAGATGCAGAAAAAGCATTTGACAAAATACAACTCATTGATGATAAAAACACTCAAACATTTAGGAATATAAGGGAACTTCCTCAGCATCTATGGAAAAACCTGTAATTAACATAATTATCAGTGAAAGACTGCACACTTTCCACCTAAGATCTGGAACAAAACAAAGATACACACTTCCACCACTTGTAGTCAACACTGAACCAGAAGGTCTATTCAGAATAATAAAGCAAGAAAGCAAGAAGTAACTCTATTCAAAGAAGGCATGATCTTATATGTAGAATTTCCTACAGAATTCACAAAAAACTGTTAGAGCTACTAAACGAATTCAGCTAAGTTACAGGATGCAAGATCAACACACAAATATCAGTTGTATTTCTATATAACAATGAACAATCCAAAAAGGAAATTAAGTAAACAATTCCATTTACAATAGCATAAAAATTACTTAGTAATAAATTTAACCATGGTGGTGCAAGATTTTTGCACTGAAAACTACAAAACAGTGCTGAAAGAAATTAAAGAACTGTAAATAAATGAAAAGACATTTTGCATCCATAGGTTGAAAAACTATTTCATTAAGATGGTTATACTCCCCAAAGCAATTTATGGATTTGATACAATTCCTGTCAAAATCCCGATGGCCTTTTTTTGCAGGAATGGAAAAGCTAAGCCTAAACTGCAAGGGATCCTGAATAGTCAAAAGGATCCCCAAAAAGAAAAAGTTGGAGGATTCAAATTTTCCAATTCCAAACTTACTACAAATCCACTGTAATCAAGACAATGTGGTACTGGCACAAGGACAGACATACACATCAATAGAAAAGAAGAAAGAGTCAATAAATAAACTCACGTTTTATAGTAAACTAATTTTCAATAAGGGTGCCAAGACCATTAAATGGGAAGAAAACAGTCTCTTCGACAAATGGTCCTGGGACGACCAGACAGCCATGTAAATAAGAATGAAGTTGGCCAGGTGTGGTGGCTCACGTCTGTAATCCAGCACTTTGGGAGGCCGAGGCGACAGATCATGAGGTCAGGAGATCAAGACCATCCTGGATAACATGGTGAAACCCAGTCTCTACTAAAAATACAAAAAAATTAGCCGGGTGTGGTGGTGGGTGCCTATAGTCCCAGCTACTTGGGAGGCTGAGGCAGGAGAATGGCATGAACCCAGGAAGTGGAGCTTGCAGTGAGCCGAGATTGTGCCACTGCACTCCAGCCTGGGCAACAAAGCGAGACTCCATCTCAAAAAAAAAAAAAAAAAAAAAAAAAAAAAGGAATGAAGTTGAACCCCTACCTCACACGCATTAAAAAAAATCAACTCGAAATGGATCAAGACCTAAATGTAAAAGACAGAACTATAAATCTCTTAAATGAAAATCTAGGGGTAAATTTTCATGACCTTGTATTTGGCAATGGTTTCTGAGATATGACACCAAAAGCACAAGCAACAAGAAAAAAATAAATTGAACTTTACCAAAGTATAAAACTTGTGCATCTAATGACAATCTACAGAATGGGAAAAAATATTCAGAAATCATATAACCTGAAAAGGGTCTAGTATCTAGAATACATTAGAAACTCTTACAATGCAACAACAAAAAGACAAGTAATCCAACTTAAAAATGAACAAAATATCTGAAGACATTTCTCCAAAGAAAATATTCAAATGGCCAACAGCACATGAAAAAATGCTCATTATATTAGTGATAAGTAAATCAAAGCCACAATGAGACACCACTTCATGTCCACTATAATAGCTATAATAATAATTTTTACAAACTAAAATAGTAAGTGTTAATGATGATATGGAGAAATTAGAACCCTTACATATTGCTAGTGGGAAAGTAAAATGATGCAAGGGTGGAAAACAGTTTGGCAATTCCACAACACATTAAACAAGACTACCATATCACCCAGCAATTCCACTAGCTATGTAACCAAAACAATTGAAATATTTCAGTTCAAACAAAAACTTGCATACATATGTTCACAGCAGCACTATTCACAAAAGAGATCACTAAATCAATACATTACAAAGAAACAACCTAATTATACATCAATTGATGAATGGATATACAAAATGTGGTATATCCATAGAATGATTATGTGGCAATAAAAAGGAATAAAGTACTGAAACATGCTACAACATAGATAACCTTGAAAACATTATATTAAATGAGGGAAGTCAGACATAAAAGGTTACATGTTTTGGAACTAGGTAGAGGTGATGGTTGCACAACATCGTGAATGTACTGTCACTGAAATGTCTACTTTAAAATGGCTAATTTTTGACTGGGCATGGTGGCTCACACCTGTAATTCCAGCACTTTGGGAGGCTGAGGTGGAAGGATCGCTTGAGGCTAGGTGTTTGCAACCAGCCTGGACAACATGGTGATATCCTGTCTCTATAAAAAAAATTTTTAATTAGCCAGTCTTGGTGGCAAATGCCTGTAGTCCTAGCTGCCTGGGAAGCTGAGGTGGGAGGACAGCTGGAGTCCAAGAGTTGGAGGCTGCAGTGAACTATGATTGTGCCACTGAGCTCCAGCTTTGGGTGACAGAGATCTTGTCTCAAATAAAATGGCTAATTTTATAAATGGGAATTTTACCTCAAAAAAAGGTCAAATGTACACCTATCATATGATGCAGCCAAGAGAAATAAGGCATATGTCCATTGTACACAAAGGTCAACAGAAACTTTATTTGTGATAACTAAAAACTGTAACAATGTATATGGATAAAACAAACTGTGGTATATTCATACAAGAGAATACATTTACTAAAACTCATTGAACTATACCCCTAAAATGGGTGACTTTTATTGCATACAAATTGTATACCAGATACTTGTTTAAAAGTTAACAATTTTTATTTAAAACAAAAGGATAAGTTTAAGATAAAAAGCAATGGCTGGGCGCGGTGGCTCACGCCTGTAATCCCAGGACTTTGGGAGGCTGAAGCGGGCAGATCCCTTGAGGTCAGGAATTTGAGACAAGCCTGACCAACATGGCGAAACCCTGTCTCTACTAAAATCACAAAAATTAGCCGGGCGTGGTGGCAGGTGCCTGTAATCCAGCTACTCAGGAGGTTGAGGCAGGAGAATCACTGGAACCGGGAAGGCGGAGGTTGCAGTGAGTCAAGATCCCACCATTGCATTCAGCCTGGGCAACAGAGTGAGACTCTATATCACACACACACACACACACACACACACACACACACACACACACAAAAGTAACAAAGTTACAAGTTTACATTAAGTTATCAATATATAACTAGTCCCCAGGAAACAGATGTCATCCTCCCCTACCCCACCCCACCCTACCACCCATTGGCTCCATATGTCCATTTTCATGTTTCTTCATGATTCCACTGTCATAGCAACACATAAGACCTTTCCAGCTTGGCTTCCAATAGTCTTGTGATATCCCAACTCCAAAATCAAGAAATCACATGAATGGTCTAGCCTGCATCAGATATGCAGCTCTGATATAAATACCTGTACCAGTTTTGTTGGGGAAGTGGTATGGGACTTTAAGTGGTATGGGGCTTTATGTCCCTTAGACCAACCCTACCTACTGGTCATGAGAATGATGTCCCTACATTGTTGGGCAGGTTTTTAAAGAAAAGCTGTGGGCAAGATTAGGCAACTGTCTTAAGTGATCAAACGGAAAAAGAAAAGTTTTGTTTTTTAATTCCCTAACATTTTGAATTAAGATACTTTTTATTACATCTAACATACCACTCATAATTAAAAAAAAAAAAAACTGTACCAAGAGTGTAGGGACCAGCCCCACAGGATCGGTGGGTTTTTCTCCCCGTGTGCGGAGACGAGAGATTGTAGAAATAAAGACACAAGACAAAGAGATAAAAGAAAAGACAGCTGGGCCCGGGGGACCACTATCACCAAGACACGGAGACTGGTAGTGGCCCCAAATGCCAGGCTGTGCTGATATTTATTGGATACAAGACAAAGGGGCAGTGAGCCATCTCCAATGATAGGTAAGTTCACGTGGGTCACGTGTCCACTGGACAGGGGGCCCTTCCCTGCCTGGCAGCCGAGGCAGAGAGAGAGACAGCTTACACCATTATTTCTGCATATCAAAGACTTTTAGTACTTTCCCTAATTTGCTACCGCTATCTAAAAGGCAGAGCCAGGTGTACAGGATGGAACATGAAGGCAGACGAGGAGTGTGACCATTGAAGCACAGCACCACAGGGAGACGGTTAGGCCTCCAGGTAACTGCGGGTGGGCCTGACTGGTGTCAGGCCCTCCACAAGAGGTGGAGGAGTAGAGTCTTCTCTAAACTCCCCCGGGGAAAGGGAGACTCCCTTTCCCGGTCTGCTAAGTAGCGGGTGTTTTTCCTTGACACTGACGCTATCGCTAGACCATGGTCCTCTTGGCAACGGGCGTCTTCCCAGACGCTGGTGTTACCGCTAGAACAAGGAGCCCTCTGGTGGCCCTGTCCGGGCATAACAGAAGGCTCACACTTGTCTTCTGGTCACTTCTCACTATGTCCCCTCAGCTCCTATCTCTGTATGGCCTGGTTTTTCCTAGGTTATGATTGTAGAGCGAGGATTATTATAATATTGGAATAAAGAGTAATTGCTACAAACTAATGATTAATGATATTCATATATAATCATATCTAAGATCTATATCTAGTATAACTATTCTTATTTTATTATTTTATTATACTGGAACAGCTCGTGCCCCCAGTCTCTTGCCTCGGCACCTGGGTGGCTTGCCGCCCACACAAGAGGAAATTAAATATTTTAAAAATACATTTTAAAAGCTACTAAATCTTTTGGTGCCTCAGTTTCTTCATCTTAATATAGAGATAATAAAATGGTTGTGAGGATTAAGTGAGAAAATATGTATAAAGCATTTTAAATTCATGAATATTAACAAACATTGCTCCTGATTTTTTGCCACTTGAAATGTCCTCTGAGCCTATAATTTCAATACTTATTTTTCCATAGTTTATAAACCATATGCTATCACTAAAATCTCTACTAAACTACACAGAATTATATGCTATCATCTCAGAAAAAAGCCAAGCCTTAAAAAAAAAAAAGCAACAACTTTTTGAGTCATTAACCCAAGACAAAATGTGTTAAATTGTTAAAATAATAAGTACTCACTGAACATACACAGTTTCAGAGTATCATGACACTCACTGTTCTGCACTGTGCACTGCAGACATAAAAATTAAAAGGACAAGGGCAGTCTCGCACTATATATTTATAAGCAAAAAGCACAGCCTGGAGAAGTCTTTAAACCCATTTGAGTAAAATCTTAAGGGGAAATAAAAAGGCCAATGGCTAAATATGCATAAAATGTAATAAGAGATAGATTTGGAGAATTCTAGTAGTATTGATAGAACATCAGCAGGTTGGAAGAGACTGGTGTAATATTATGAAGATGGTCCTTGGGAAGAGAAGTTGGTACCAGACTCTGAAGGGCTCTGTAAATAAAAAGCAAAGCTAAGAAATTTGAATTATATATGGTAGACAATGAGAAGCCATCAGAGATACTTATGGAGCAACATCTGGAGGGAGACTGAAGAGAGGCAAGAAATATTACTTTTTTAAAAAAGCATAAACTTTTGAGTTAAATCTAATTTCCGACTTCAGTTCCAACGTGTTACTAGTTGTGTGAGAACAAATTACCGAGCCCCTCTTAGCCTGTTTTCTTATTTGAAGATAGTAACTACCTCAGCGATATTGTAAAGATTAATGAGAGAATGTATGTGATGCGGTTTTTACAGTTTAGTAACTCAATGTAATTGGAGACTTATGTATCATTTGCTATGTGGCACACACTATTTTAAGGTCTTTGTATATATTAACTCATTCAATCCTCACAATAATCCTACAAAGTAGGTAACCTCATCATACGGTAGAGGGAAATGAAGCAGAGAGGTTAAACAGCTTGCCCAGGGTCACCTAGCTATCAAGTGGTGGAGATGGGCTTCAAACCAAGGCAATCTGGCCCCAGTTCCATGTCTTTAATCAACACATTATAATGCCTTTCTAGGAAAGATCAAATCAGTGTTTTGAAAACTCACAGTATTTTCTAACCTTTCAGTTAAATATGCAGACTGTTCAATGCCATCCTCCAGACCTACTGATTCAGAATCTGAGATCTGAAGTGCAGGAATCAGCATTGTTGAACAAATCCTTCAAGGTAGTGTATACACAATAAATTCTGAAACTCACTGATTTAAGAAAGAGCAAAAATCCAATGAAAATAATTCAGGTAGAAAAAAATAAAGAGATTAGGATATAGCGATCAATTTTTAAAAATTACCATTTGTTGACAGCACATATGAAATGAGCAGAAAGGCTTAGAGAAGTATAGCCAATGTCTCTGTTACAAAGACACTATATGAAAAATGCTCATATTTTAACTATCCTAAACACCGAGTATTTAAGTCTATTCTTCCTGGCTAACACTTAAAAGTTCAATAGCAGGAAGAATGGGGGTGCTGGAATAGCCAGCACTGGATGAAGGAATGTTTTTATTCTGATTATTATGAAGTCCTACTTTTAAAAATATATTTATACATTTAAATGGTACAATATCCTGGTGTTAAAACCTTAAAAGGAACTTAAAATATCTTTTCGTATTAAGCTACACAAAACTGACGATTTTTAATAAAGATGTAAAACTTGTACACATTTAAAGTTCCCATTTATAGTTTACATTTATGGCACACTTTTAAACCATTCCAGAAGGCATGACTTTACTACTGGGTTAGACAGAGTTCCATATTTCAGATAGTTCATCATTAAAAATTAAAAAAAAAAAAGCCCAAAACAATAAAACCCAAAGAAACAGATGCTCAAAGCATTAGTGGATTACTTCCAAAAAGACTCCATAATAACCCAGTTGGCCAATGAATGAGGGAGGCGAAAAGGCAGGGCGGTGGAACTAAACCTTATCCCTATTGTTTGCAAACTAAGACCCTAGTTAATCACCACCGCTGTTACCACAGCCGGTTTAAATAGGAGTCTCGGATTTTTGCGGTACATGAAAAATGTCAACCGTGAAAGAAAAATATCCGGGTTTTAAATACAAAGGACACTCGAATTTCAGTTTAAATCCCACTCAGGCATTTCAAAGACTGTCACTTCCCTGCAGTCCAGAGTTAATCAAGGTTGCCCGGGTATCTCTCTCAGGAGGAACGCGGAGCCACGTAGAGCATCTTTTCATTCTAAACCCGCCCCAACCTTCCATCTTTCATTAAAAGAGATTTGTTTAAACGTGGCAACGCCTTCACAGTGAGATTTAACTACTGTTAAAATTTCAGCATTCGAGCCGAATTGGTGGAAATAATAAACTACGGGTTTAAAAAAAGCCACGGAGGATGCGTATAAACAAGGTTTACTCGCGGGGGACCGGCAGGGCCTCCGAATCCTCAACACTGAGAGCTGGCTGGCGTGCGCAACCGTCGAGAGCGCTGGTCCAGCAAACGCCCCCAGTGCCCCGAATTCCCTTAGTCTCCAGGCCGGGCCCCAGCACCAGACGTCCCCAAAAGCACTGCGAGGCCCCGGCTGCGACGTCCGGCCTCCTGACACCCTCTCCCACCCCACGGTCCTGCTTCTCTCTCTGGAACGTTCTGCGTCTTCCCGTTCCCCATTTACTCACCAAGGAGAGCTGGGCAGAAGTTCCAGAGCCTCAGTGCCACTTTTCCCGGCCCGCTGTACGTCGGGGCACGCCGACCGCGAGCAGCCACATTCAACGGCCCACAGGATTCAAATTCGTCCACTTCCGCTCGCAAACCCGGAAAGAGCGGTCGGCCCCGCCCTCGAGGGGTGGGACCCGCGGAGGCGCTGGCTGTGGGGAAGGGCCCGTGTGCTCCCGCCCTTCTGGCGCTCCTGCGCTGCTGCTCGGTGCTAACCTGGCTGTGTCGCCTTCGCTTGTTTGTTTTGTCGGGTCTCTCTCCCTATTTAGGAGCTCAGAAAAACTCCGGGCGCGGGGTCATTGTTTCCGCCTATTTGCTCTTGAGGGGATCCTCTTTTTTCCAAAATGGACAGAGATGTGCTGAAGTTTCGTCACCTTCGAGGAATGGGGCGAATGAAAGCACGAACGGAGGCAGGAGGGTTTTATCTTTCCCTTCATCCTCGAGGAAACAGCAGCAGCAGCAAGAAGGAAAAAAACAAACCCTCCAAGTACTTAGTGCAGCCTTTCCTGGGCCTCTCAGTCCTATCCCGGCACAGTCAGGGCTTTTAATTTATTTCTGTCCTGGGTTTAGGGAAAACAAAAAGCCAAGTTCACCCGTATTCAGCCAAAAGTTGAAAATAAGTGGTCGGACCAATTCCTGGTCTCAAATAAACTATTTGATGGTGTTAGAAGGCAATAAATTTTATTTCCCCCCTCAGATAAGGGCTCACTTTACGAGATTATTAAGTATTGTCCCGTGAGATTATTGAAACAACAGTATCTTTTCCTTTATCGAGGACCACAGTATGTCTTTGATCCAAAACGTCTTAAGCTTCTGAAGAGACATCTGGGAGCTTCCAGAAACTAAAGGAAGGACTGGAAATGCTAGGGGGTGAGGGGCGCTAAATAACTCTGACCTTTATGGCTGTGATTGATGTTGCCACCAGATCATCCTCACATCTAATAACATTGAATTACCTAAACGGATCAGTACAAACCAAACCATGACAGCATACCTTTAGCCTTTGTCAAAAATACAGTTTGAGGGCCGGGCGCGGTGGCTCACGCCTGTAATCCCAGCACTTTGGTAGGCCGAGGCGGGTGGATCACGAGGTCAGGAGATCGAGACCATCCTGGCTAACATGGTGAAACCCCGTCTCTACTAAATGTACAAAAAATTAGCTGGGCGTGATGGCAGGCGCCTGTAGTCCCAGCTACTCGGGAGGCTGAGGCAGGAGAATGGTGTGAACCCGGGAGACGGAGCTTGCAGTGAGCAGAAATTGCGCCACTGCACTCCAGCCTGGGCGACAGAGCGAGGCTCTGTCTCAAAAAAAAAAAAAAAAAAAAAAAAAAAATACAGTTTGAAAGGTTTACTAGATTTCTGAGAACCTATGCTACAGGTAATCTGACACAGGGGGTGTGTAAAGCTATTAACTGATGTACTGTTTTTAACAGTGGAAGATAGAAAATAATCTGTGTCTACAAATAAGGAAGGGGTTAAATACATGTAAGTTATGATACTTTAGCATCTGATATACTGACGCTGCGGGCACTAAAAGTAATGAAGTAGATCAGCGGGTACTGAAATGAAATACTGAAAAAGTTTAAGAAGGACTGTAGTATCCTTGTTTGAAAGTATGTGTGTGTATATGGTATACAAAGTTTTGGGATGGATACCTAAGCTGTAAACATCTCTGGGAGCGGGCTGGTAAATAAGAGTAGGAAGAGATGGAGAACTTTTACCTTTCACTTTATCACCAGTTGAATTTTTAAGATAATAAACTTTTTTTTTAATTTTGCAATTTTGTTCTTTAAGGAAGATTGCTAGAAATTGAATACATTCTAGATACAAAATCAGGTTTAATGAGCGTATAAATTTCTAATGTTTGGATAGTCTATGTCCATTCATTCATTCAACAGTTCTTTCTACAATTACATATAATGATTTGACCACACATTTTGTCATTCATGATATAGTGTATTATTTTATGTTTACATATCTAATATGACCCCGTTAAATATATTGCTCCTTGAAGTTTCTTGAAGGCAGAAACTATGTTATATATTTTCCTATGTCTTTCATAATTCTTGGCACCTTCCCACCATTCTTATCCTTCACAGGAATTAAATTCTCAAGTTGACCTGTATACAAAAGTTAAAAATGCCCTGGAAAAGCCACCCAAAAGATTATATATATATATATGATTTTCTTTATACAACTCTATGAGCAAGGTTTTGTGTTTTTTTTTTTTTTTTTCAGTTTGTCCCCTGAGTTCTCCTTGGTCAGTTCTTCTCTACAACCCTTAATTAATTCTTCAATTTCTTCCGCTAAAATGTTGTCAAAGTCATTATCACCCCGCAGCCTGGCCATCACTTGGAATAATGAGATTCAGTTCTCATCAGTGGTGGAGAGCCCTGTAAAGTCATTCACATTTTTTTCCATAAGATTAGCCAGGCTTAATTGTATTAATTGTCTAGGGTTGGTGTTCACTGAATGGACTATCTGGTTATCTGTACTAATTAAAATGTTGTTCTTTTTTTTTCACCCAGAGTGAGTATAGGTGATTTTGAATACAAACAATATTCAAGTAATGTTACAGCATTTTGTGAACAAAAAAGATCTTCAATAAATACCCACTGACTAAATCAAAGAGCCTGAGTACATACAACTTAAGGACTTCTTTGAGACGGAGTCTCTCTCTGTCGCCCAGGCTGGAATGCAGTGGCGTGATCTCTGCTCACTGCAAGCTCCGCCTCCTGAGTTTATGCCATTCTCCTGCCTCAGCCTCCCAAAGTGCTGGGATTACAGGCGTGAGCCACCGCGCCCGGCCACAATTTAAGGACTTTTGAAAGAAAATATTCATTGCAGGACGTACTTAAATCTAACAAACCTGGCCATCAGACCAGGCATTCTGAGAGCTTATAAACATTTTAAATTGAGTGAAATTGATATAAGTATTCCACTTAATACATGCTGCAAAAAATGAAGAATAAAATTAAGAATTTTATTCAGTCTCTGATAATCCCTCAGTAATGTGAACTAGCTGAGAACTGAATTCTTAGAAAATTTTAGTCATAGCTAATGTAACCTCTCTTTCCTGCTTTCCTCTTCCTATTCAATCCACATACAGCAGAAAACAAAACAAAAACACTCCTGGGACCAAGGGTCATCAATTTTACATGGAAGAAACAACATAAACTGCTTTGGCAGAAGAATTCCTATAATCTACTCTAAAAGGTTTTTACCACAACCAACATGAGTAACAGAAATGATAAAATGCGTAGAAATAAATTTTAAAGAAAATTCACAAAATCAAATTAGAATTCAATTTAATTTAAAATAATTTTTAAATTTTAAATACAGTTTTAAAGAAATTTTCTTTAAAGAAAGATATAGAACCTGCTACTTTAAAATATAATTTGAGAACATAAGTGATTTCAATGTTCATATAGGAAAATTAATATGTAAGAATTGTTAAGACATATTAGAAAAAGAAAACAGAGGTCAGGAGTAGACAATTTGTCTTACTAGAGAGTAAAAACTTACCACAAAGCTGCTACAAAGAGTAGCCAAAAAAAAAAATCAGACAAAAAATATAGTATTAGCACAAAAAAGAAAAAGAGAATCCAGAAAAATGAAACTATATAGAGAATATTAATATATTATAAAGGTGATATTTCCTTTTCAGGAAAAGGATGGGTTCATTCATAAATTAACAAGAACTGGAAATAACTGGCCAGCTATATGGAAGATATAAAGTTAGGCCTGTACCTTTTATCATATACCAAAATAAATTCTAGAAACATTAAAGATTGAAATTTTAAAAAATAAAACAAAAGTATATTGGGGAGAAGTTTAGAACGGTAACTGTGACTTTAGGGTAGAAGAGACTTCTCAAACAAGGCAGGGCCAGGTGCAGTAGCTCTTGCCTGTAATCCTCGCACTTTGAGAAAGCCAAGGCGGGAAGAGCACTTCAAGCCAGGAGTTTGAGACCAGCCTGGGCAACATAGTGAGACTGCTGGCTCTACGAAAAACAATTTTTTAAAAAATTTAGCTGGGTGTGGTGGTGTGCACCTGTAGTCCCAGCTACTCAGGAGGCTGAGGTGGGAGGATCCCTTGAGCCCAAGAGTTGGAGGTTGCAGTGAGCTGTTGCACCACTGCACTCCAGCCTGGGTGACAGAGCAAGACCGGAATCCTAGAAACCATAAAATAAAAGATGAGTATGTTTCATTATGTTAAAGTTTAAAATATTTGAACAGCAAAAGTCACCATGACACATTGAAAGATAAATGAGGGACAATGATAAAATATTTATAAAACATAGGACACTAGGTTAACAATTCTAATGTAAAAACTTTTATAATTTTTTTCAAAAAGCAATAAAAATGGGCAGAAGAAATGAACAAGTAATTCATTGAAAAGGAAATGAAAGAGGACAAGACACAGAAAATACTCAACTGTACTACCTCACTTTTGGGAATACAAATCAACCAACCAAATACCAAGTTTATTGGATTAGCAAAAATTAAAACAATTCACAATATCCCACACTGGGAGAGTGTGGTGGTAAAATGTACACTCTTTTTTTTTTTTTTTTTTTGAGACAGAGTCTTGCTCTGTCACCCAGGCTGGAGTGCAGTGGCGCGATCTTGGAGCTTGCATTTGGTATATGATAAAAGGTACAGGCCTAACTTTATATCTTCCATATAGCTGGAGTGCAGTGGCGTATCACTGCAACCTCCACCTCCCAGATTTAAGCAATTCTCCTGCCTCAGCCTCCTGAGTAGCTGGGATTACAGGCATGTGCCACCATGCCAGGCTAATTTTTGTATTTTTCTAGTAGAGATGGAGGTTTCCCCATGTTGGTCAGGCTGGTCTTGAACTCCTGACCTCGTAATCTGCCCGCCTCGGCCTCCCAAAGTGCTAGGATTACAGGCGTGAGCCACTGCGCCCGGCCAAATGTACACTCTTATCCACAGGAGCATACATTGCTACAGCTCTTGGAAAGTAACTCAGGCTTTTCTCAACTTTGGGATTCTCCTATAGAAATAAGCATGCTAGTGCTTTTTGAAGCACTACTTACAGTGGCTGCTAACTGGAAACAACTATAAAGAGGAAGATAATTGAATGAGTTAGGGTACATCCATCCTGTTAGGAGGCCATCCAAAGTTGTGTTGCTTTGCCCCCTAAACCATTGCCTCCAGAGTTAGGGCTATTGAACCCCCAAAGACATGCAAATAAGAAGGTATGGTATTCTTTAATTAGAGAAATAACAATGCTATCTTATACTGTAAAGCTGATAAACCTGGCACTCATTCTTAAATTAGCGCCCACTAGAATTAGTATACACTTTTGGACTAAATTGTCCTTTACAGGAACTCATTCCTCCTCTGTGTTAGCCATATTGAACTTCTGGTAACCCTTCCTGCCTTTCAGATGAATCAGATTTTTGTTTTACCCTCAGCCACTACCCACATTTGAAGCAAATACTTGACTCATACTTAAGGCAGATCCATCCCTGAATGTCTGTTCACTTTTCTTTTATCTTCCACCTTGAGGATAAATTTCTAGCTTTCTCTCTAGCCTGTCTCCTCAGCAATACCGATTAATATTCTGCCTGGTATCTGATAACCCCTCACTTATCTGTTGCCTTGATTAGAGACCATCCCTGAGATCTTAGAATGAAAGTTTTTAATTAAGTTTTCTGTGACTCAGAGCCCTAATAGAGTCATACTATAAGAAGTGTACTTTGAGGCCGGGTGCAGTGGCTCACACCTGCATTTTATGTGGCTCACATAAAATATGTCACAATCAGCTACTCAGAATACAGGCCACTGTAGGACTCTATTCCCAAACTTCTACTTCACTAACCTCTAACAAGAATGTAAAAGCATGAAATAGAGGTAATTCTCTTCTCTCCAGGTGACTTTATATCTTAATCATTCCTACTGTACTCATGATCTTGTTACTGCTCCCGTATTTACCTCAGGTTTGTTTTTTACTTCCTCCTTTAATGGTCTTTTTTTCTTCTTCCCCTCTCTGTGCTCACTGTCCTTATCTGTTACTTAGGCTTCCTCTATGATTCTCAGCAATATTTGAATACTTTGGAATATACTTAGTATTTCTAATTATGGCATTAATGCTACAAAATTTTCATCCCATGATTCCAAAATAAATTAGCCTATATTATCATTATTATTACTATTAATTGTTGAGACAGGATCATGTTCTGTCACTCAGGTTGCAAGTGCAGGGATATGATCATGGCTCACTGCAGTCTCAACCACCTGGGCTCAAGTGATCCTCTCATTTCAGCTTTTCAAGTAGCTGGGGCCACAGGCACGCACTGCTATGCCCAGCTAATTTTTTTTTTTTTTAATTTTTGTAGAGATGGGGGAATCTCGCTATTTTGCCCAGGCTGGTCTTGAACTCCTGGGTTCAAGTGATCCTCCTGCCTCAGCCTTCAAAAGTGCTGAGATTACGGGTGTGAACCACTGCCCCCAGCCATAGCCCATATTGTTGATCATCTCTTGTGTTGAAGACATAATGATAATATCATACGAAATAAGTACATGACCATTATTAGTGTATGACTCCATGATTAATAATAATTTGCCAAGCTTCTGCTATGCTGTCAGCAGTGCTAATATGTTTCTGAATGGAGTTGTATTCATTTTCTCAAGCAGAAAGGGCTTGATGCCTGATGCACTAAAAGCCAATATACAATGACTCTGGGCTGTTGGGAAAAGAAAAGCTTTTTGTTATATGTCAACTCACAAGAAGACAGGAGTCCAGCTCAAAGCCGTCTCTCTGTGTTGGCTTTACTTTTATTAGAAAAGGTTTAGGGGGTGATTCTGAGACTAGTAGGTGATTGGTGGAAGAAAAGGGGAGGTCTGGAAAGTCCTCAGGCACGCCCAGTTATCCCTTTGTGCCTCCTCATGGGTCACAGGTGCAAATTTAGGGGGACTTAATATGAAATGTGGTAGAAATTCAGGCTGTGACATCAACAAATTTGCTCTGCGCAAACTCCAGTTGGCCACATTGTTTCCAACAGTTCAGTTCATTGTTTCATCCAGTTTTTTAAAATCCCTCAAGTAGAGGGAGTTTCAGCTTTTCGGCAAGTTGTTTCCTTTTATTATTGACTAACCTTCAAATTCAAGAATGTCTGTTAGTTATTGGTTTCTTTAACTCTTTGGAGCACAGTTTCATTCATGTGTTTACTAATATGTTTCTTACATTCATTTGCGTGACCAGTCTTTTTATATCAATTTTTGAACTTGAATTAAGATACATTTTTGGGAAAGTATGTTGTCTGCTATCAAACAGAAGTCTTTTCTTCATTGTCTATTTACTTGGATCTTTTGATCTAAAGTGTTCATCTAACTGCTGTTCAGTCTCTTGTAAGTTAAACACACCTCCTCCTGGCAGCAGGAAGCAGCATCCAAAACAGCGAATTTCAGGTCTTTTGTTTCAGGGTTGTTTGGATAATAAGTAGCTATACAGTAACCACAGTGATTTGGATTGACATCATGCCTGCTGGGTAACTGTATGGATTTTACAAAGGACTCAAAGTTTGCTTGTAGCCAATATGAGACATGTGTTTTAATATAGGTCAAAGATGTGGTATGTTTATGTTAACATTACTCCTCTCTAAGTTGGTGTTTCAAACAAATGATTGTCTGGATTGCTTTTTAAAATTGCTGTCTTTTGGCCTGAAGTGTTTACATAGAAATCAGAGCCTCTTTACAGTTAAGAGTAACTCCAAATGCAGGAACACACATTGGTAATGCCACCCAGAATAAATCAAGTAATGAACAACATGCTTGAACTGAATCTTTAACATTCTTGGATACAATTGCTGGCAATCAAAACTGTTTTCAGTTTGTGTACTTTGATTTTTTAATCCCTCCCAGAATACTTGCGGAAAATGACTCCGCAACTGAATTGATAAAGTGACTCAGTTATAATAAGCCCAATCCTTACCTGAGTGTTTTGTTGGGGGTGAAAGAAAACTTCAAATTCTCACAAAGGTCTAGGGCACAGAATCATCACTTAGGAAGCAGGCACTTGCTCAAAGTTTAGCTTCAACACTTAGGGCCATTCTTTAGGAAACATTTTTCAAGGATAGTAAGTAGTGCAATGTTAAGAGGCGAACCTGAAAGCAAAACAGGCTGAGGTTTAAATACTAGCCGTTTTACTTACTAGCTAAGTATGAAGTACCCAATCCTTTGAGCTTCACTACACATTAATCAGATGTAAATAATAACTACCTGACAGGTTTCTTGTGAGCTCTAAGTGAGAGGACATTTAATGGTAATTATAATTAGGCAAATGGGTAAGACATACAGTTAACATCCCCTTCCTTCTCCTTTCAATGGCATCTGGCATTCCATGCCCAGTATCCTTAGGCTTGTGAGCCACTGAAAGGCACAAAGGAACTCTCCTCCCAGGTGGATCTTAGCCTCATATTCCTTTTCTCTGCCCTTCAGAACATATGATACATTCCTTAGTGACCTGCTGTCTACTTTCCACCTTGGTAGTGATTTGAGTTAATCCATGTTTATAGAAAGAGCTAATAAACTAGCTCTAATAGGTCATATTTGTAGCTGAAATAGTGAGAATTTCAGGGCAGTTTGATGTAATGTTTGCTATTTAACCCCTGTACAATTTTTTAAATTGTTTGGGTTTGCAAGTCTAGTATCTCCAAGTTGACTCACTTCTTAGGTATTGTACAGTAATAGATATTAAACTTTAGCCTTCCCACAGTGGTCATAATGGGGCAATGAGTCTTCCTGTAGGTGAGGTTAACTAATAAAAGGTATATGATTGGAAAAACATAAAAGGAACTAACATTTGTTTAATGCTTTCTACATTCAAAACACTGTGCTAAAACTAAATGTTGATTTACTTAATCTTGACAAAGTAGGTGATGAAACTAGGGCTTAATAAGATTAAATAATTTGTCCAAGGCCACAGTAGGCAGAACTGGTATTTTAACTATAGCTTGTTTGGTTGGACACAAAGCTTGTTCATTTTCCATTACAATATTTCAATTCACACACCCAGCAGAGATAGGAGCAGTGATAAGAAACCTAATATTAATCTAAAACAATTAGCTAATAGCAAAGTTTTTTTTTGTGAGAAATTTGCTTGTTCATCTATAGAACTGTAGGACGTTAGTTTAATAAAGAACCTCAGATATCATCTAGTATTAGGTAGAAGCTTTGTTAATATTAGTACAGAGACGACTTTTTAGTACTAGACTGAAGGATGAATTAGATCAACAATTTTCAAAATGTGGTTCATGAGGTCAAACTATCTTCAAAATAATACTAAGACCGTTTGCCTTTTCACTTATATTCTCTCACAAGTGTACAATAGAGTTTTCCAGAGGCTGCATGGGGTGTGATATTGCAACAGACTGAATGCAGAAACTGATATGAAAATCCAGTGATTTTCTTTTTCTTTTCTTCTTTTTTTTTTGAAATGGAGTCTCACTCTGCCACCCAGGCTGGAGTGCGGCAGCGTGATCTGAGCTCACTGCAACCTCCGCCTCCCGGGTTTCAGTGATTCTCCTGCCTCAGCCTCCCTGGTAGTTGGGACTACAGGCACCCACCACCACACCCCGCTAATTTTTTTGTATTTTTAGTAGAGACAGGGTTTCACCGTGTTAGCCAGGATGGTCTCGATCTCCTGACCTTGTGATCTGCCTGCCTTGACCTCTCAAAGTGCTGGGATTACAGGCATGAGCCACTGTGCCCAGCCAATCCAGTGATTTTATATTAAATTATCCACCAGAGAGATTTATATAAAGGTAAAACAATGCCATTCTTCTCACTAAATTATTTTTGTTTTAGAAAACACAAATATTTATGTTAGCATGTAGTTTCATAACGTTATTTTAAATAACAGTCCCACCCTTCAGCCCAATAGTGGGCAGCTGTGAATATGTTTCTGGAGCAGCTTGCACACAGCTTGCAGGAACCAGAACAGGCAAAAAGGACCATGTCCTAAAAATATTGGGGATCTGTGCTGTGATCATTGATTGCTGCATCTGATCACAGAGGTATAGAAAAAGAGGTGGTGGTCATTACGGTTGCACTAACCCCCATTGTTGCAAACCCTCCCACTCCTCTGGCTAAAGTAATATCCAGGAGATTTAAAGAGGCAGAGCCTTTTCTCTCCTGTTATTTTTCTCTGTCTCCCCTTATGGAAGTAAGACATTGAAGACTAGGACATTCAAAAGCAACTGCATATGTAAGGAAAACTAGAAAGTCACCACACACGCCCAGGTGAAGGTGCAGGCTCAGCAAAGACCAGAGAAGGCCTTAAGTTTAAACCTCAGGCTGATCCTCAGCACAGACACAACCTATAACAATAACAGCAACAAAAATAATAATAAAACCCAAAACACCAGCAAAACCTAGGGAAGGGAGAGAACCTGATTTCCAAAGGTACGACATTATTAGATGCAAATATACAGTTTTCAACAACAACAAAAAAATCACAAAGCATACAAAGAAACAGGAAAGTATGGTCTTTTCAAAAGGAAAAAAACAATAAACTATCTTTGAAAAAGACTGGATGGCAGATCTACTAGACAGACAAAGACTTTAAAACAACTGTCTTAAAGATGCTCAAAGAACTAAAGGAAGAAATGACAGTCAACAAAATGATGTCTGAACAAAATGGAAAAATCATTAAAGAAATAAAAAGCCTAAAAAGAAAAAAATCGTGGAGCTGAAAATTATAGTAACTGAAATGAAAAAAATCACTAGAAGTATTCAAAGGCAGATTTGGGCAGGCAGGAGAAAGAATCAGTGAACTTGAAAATAGAACAATGAAAATTACTGAGTTTGAGAAACAGAAAGAAAAAGATTGAAGAAAACGGAACTGAGCCCAAGAGACCTATGTGACACCATAAAGCTAAACAACACAGGCATTATGGTATTCCTAGAAAAAGAAGAGAAAGAAAAAGAGAGAATATCTGAAAAAGTAGTGGCTAAAAACTTCCCAAATTTGATGGACGATATGAATATAAACATCCAAGAAGCTCAACAAGCTCAATGTGTGATGAACTCAGAGACCCACACCAAGATATTATCATCAAAATATTGGAAGACAAACACAAAGAGAATTTTGAAAGCTGCAAGAGAGAAGTGACTTGTCACAAGGGGTCATAATGAGAGGTGACAACGTGCTGGTGGCCCTCGCTCGCTCTCAGCGCCTCCTCAGCCTCTGCGTCTGCTCTGGCCACGCTTGAGGAGCCCTTTAGCCCTCCGCTGCACTGTCGGAGCCCCTCTCTGGGCTGGCCGAGGCTGGAGCCGACTCCCTCTGCTTGCAGGGAGGTGTGGAGGGAGAGGTGTGGGCGGGAATCCGGGCTGCGCACAGCTCTGGCGGACCAATGCGAGTTCCGGGTGGGCGTAGGCTCGGCAGGCCCCACACTCAGAGCCTCCGGCCGGCACTGCCAGCCCTGGGCAGTGAGGGGCTTAGCACCCGGGCCAGTAGCTGCAGACAGGGTGCCGGGTACCCCAGCACTAATGGCCCACCCGCGCTGCACTCGAATTCTCACTGGGTCTCAGCTGCCTCCCCGCAGGGCAGGGCTCAGACCTGCAGCCCACCATGCCTAAGCCCCCCCTGCCACCCGCACCCCGTAGTGGGCTCCCGTGGGGCCCGAGCCTCCCAGAGGGGCGCCGTCCCTTGCTCCGCCGCACCCGGTTCCATTGACCGCCCAAGGGCTGAGGAGTGCAGGCGTGCAGTGCGGGACTGGTAGGCAGTTCCGCCTTCAGCCCTGGGGCGGGATCCACTAGGCGAAGCCAGCTGGGCTCCTGAGTCCAGTGGTGACTTGGAGAACTTTTATGTCTAGCTGGAGGGTTGTATATGCACCAATCGGCACTCTGTGTCTAGCTCGGGGCTCGTGGATGCACCAATCAGCACTCTGTATCTAGCTAATCTGGTGGGGACTTGGAGAACCTATGTCTAGCTAAAGGATTGTGAATACACCAATCAGCACTCTGTATCTAGCTCAAGGTTTGTAAACACACCCATCAGCACCCTGTCTCTAGCTCAAGGTTTGTAAACGCACCAATCAATGCTCTGTGTCTAGCTACTCTAGTGGAGACTTGGAGAACCTTTATGTCTAGCTAAAGGATTGTAAATACACCAATCAGCACTCTGTTTCTAGCTTAAGGTTTGTAAACACACCAATCAGCACTCTGTGTCTAGCTCAAGGTTTGTAAACACACCAATCAGCACCCTGTGTCTAGCTCAAGGTTTGTAAACGCACCAATCAGCACCCTGTGTCTAGCTCAAGGTTTGTAAACTCACCAGTCGGTGCTCTGTGTCAAGTTAATCTGGTGAGGACTTGGAGAACTTTTATGTCTAGCTAGAGGATTGTAAATGCACCAATCAGCACTCTGTGTCTAGCTCAGGGATTGTAAATGCACCAATCAGCACCCTGTCAAAACGGAACAATCAGCTCTCTGTAAAACGGACTAATCATCTGTCTGTAAAATGGACCAATCAGCTCTGTGTAAAATGGACCAATCAGCAGGATGTGAGTGGGGCCAGAGAAGGGAATAAAAGCAGGCTGCCTGAGCCAGCAGCGGCAACCAGCTAGGGTCCCCTTCCACACTGTGGGAGCTTTGTTCTGTCACTCTTTGGAATAAATCTTGCTGATGCTCACTCTTTGGATCAGCACTGCGTTTATGGGCTGTAACATTTACTGAAAAGGTCTGCACCTTCACTCCTGAGGCCAGCGAGATCACGAGGCCACTGGGAGGAATGAACAACTCCAGATGCTCCACCTTAAGAGCTGTAACACTCACTGCGAAGGTCTGCAGTTTCACTCCTGAAGCCAGCGAGACCATGAACCCACCAGAAGGAAGAAACTCCGAACACGTCTGAACATCAGAAGGAACAAACTCTGGACACACCATCTTTAAGAACCGTAACACTCACTGTGAGGGTCCCCGGCTTCATTCTTGAAGTCGGTGAGACCAAGAACCCACCAATTCTGGACACAATAAGATTAACAGCAGATTTATCGTCAGATACTTTGGAGGCCAGAAGACAATGCACTTATGTTTTTTAAGTACTAAAAGAAAAAAAATTGTCAAATCAAAATTGCATTATAAAACCTAGTATTATAAAAATAATGTGTAACTGTTTTTTCTAAATGGTTTAAAAGACTGATACATTTAAAAATAAACAAGTATTAGTCTAAAAGCTGTTACGATAATCATGTTTTGCAACTCCATGCTTTATTCTCTGTGTAATTTAAGACACTGATGTGTTAGAAAGTTATTAGCTTATGTTTTTGGACAGTGTATAAAAATATAAGTTTATGACATTGACAATCAAAAGGGTTGGGGATAGAGCTGTTAGAGAAGTAGTGTATGTTATTAAAGTTAATCTGCTATAAATTCAAATTAGAGTGTTATAACTTTAGGGTGTTATGTAATCCCATGGTAACCACAAGAAAATAACTGAAGAATGTATACAAAATGATATGAGAAATTTAAACATTTCACTACAAAATATCAACTCAATACAAAAGACAGTAATGCAGGAAATGGACAAAAAAGCTATAAGGCATGTAGAAAACAAATAGCAAAATAAAGGAATAAGTCTTTCCTTATCAATGATTATTCCAAATGTAAGTGGATTAAATTCTCCAGTCAAAAGACAGAGATAGGCAGAATGGACCAAAAAAAAAAAAAAAAAAAAAACATGATCCAACTATATACTGTCTCTAAAAGACTCACTTTAGATTCAAAGACACAAATAGGTTAACAGTGAAAGGATGGAAAGGGTTGTTCTATGCAAATAGTAACAAAAGGAGAATGGTAGTATCTAAACTAATATTAGAATGACTAAAATTAAACGGACTGATTATATCAAATGTTAGCAAGGATATAGAGGAGCTGGAATTCTCATACATTGTGTGGGAATGTAAAATGATATGAACACTTTTGAAAATAGTTCACTAGTTTCTTAAAATGTTAAATACACGTTTACCTTATAATCCTGTCATTCCAGCAAAGACTTGCATACATATGTTCATAGCAACTTTGTAAATAACCAAAAATGGAAAATGCCTAACAACTGATAAATGTATAAACAATACAATACATATTACAATAAATTAACTATTGATACACAATATTTCAAGAATGAATCTTAAAATAATTATGCTTAGTGAAAGTCAGAAAAAATACATACTGTATAGTTTCACTTACGTAAGATTCTAGAAAATACAAACTAATTTATAATGATAGAAAGTAGATATGTGGTTGCCCGGGGATTGGGTGGGGAATGGGGAGAAGTTACAAAGGAGCACAAGGAAATTTGGGGGAGTAATGTATATATTCAGTGTCTTGATTATACATGGTGATGGTTTCATAGGTGCTTACGTATGTCAAAACTTATCAAATTGTACTATTAAATATATATGACTTATTTTAAGTCAATTATACATCAATAACATTGCTAGAAAAAATAGAGGAGAAGATTTTTAGGTAACTAGCTACATTTGTCTCTTATTAGTTACAAACTTGGTAGCTCATAACACCACACATTTATTTTCTTATAGTCTGGAGGCTAGAAGGCAATCAATTTCTTTTGTTTCTTTTGTTTGTTTGTTTGATATGGAGTCTCGCTCTGTCGCCCAGGCTGGAGTGTAGGGGGCGCGATCTCAGCTCACTGCAACCTACACCTCCCAGGTTCAAGTGGTTCTCCTGCCTCAGCCTCTCGAGTAGCTGGGACTACAGGCGGGTGCCACCACGCCCAGCTAATTTTTGTATTTTTAGTAGAGACAGGGTTTCACCATGTTGGCCAGGCTGGTCTCCAAATCCTGACCTCAGGTGATCCACCCGCCTCGGCCTCCCAAAGTGCTGAGATTACAACAGGCGTGAACCACCAGGCCCGGCCAGCCCCAGTCAGTTTCCCTAGGTTCAAGTCAAAGTATTGGCAGGGCTTGTTCCTCCTAGAAGCTTTAAGGGAGAATCAGTTTCCTTGCCTTCTCCAGCTTCTAGAGCTGCATTCCTTGGCTTATGGTCCCTTCTTTCATCTTTAAAGCCAGCAGCATTATCACCTTCGAAATTCTGTTTCCATTATCACATGGAATTTTCCTCTTCTGTTTCAATTCTTCCTCTGCCTTCCTCTTCAGAAAGATATTTTTGAATATTAGTTCTTTTTGGAATTAAGCCTTCCTCAAACCAGTAAAAAAAACAAAAACAAACAAAAAAAACAGCAGACCATTGGGTCTTTGGGATTCTGTTTCATTTTTGCCCTTAAATCACCTCTCAACTGAATAATTTTGTTTATGTCAAATTGCATCAAATGGCCACCCTAATTCTAAATTATACTCGGTGAAATTATGCCATACAGATAATTTAGCACACAAATTTGTTACAGCATAAATACATGTAAAAACTAGGAGCCAACCCAGAGTTGTTGCAAATATAGGTTTAGACTGAGAAAAAGCCCTAAAGTTGAAAGTATTGCTTATATATGTCATGAATCATTTCCCCAGCCTAATGGCTATGCCATCTCTATCTGTAAATCTCACTAATTTGCAGCTTCTGTATAACAAGTTTTAATAAAAGCTCTCACCAAACCAGGCATCCACAGACAAAAGAGCAAAACAAAAGACTCAGGAAAATTTACATTAAGTTTTAAGTGACACGAGGAAGAGTTTGTCTAAAGAATGCCTATACATTTCAGTCCTCAGGTCCAGCTTGTGAAAACAGACATTTATTGGGGCCTGTACCCATTCTTTCCCTAGGAACATTCTCCTTAAGGGCATGTTACAAAGACATATTTGACAAGGACAAAGACAAGTAATGTTATTAGTACAAAGGCAGATTTCCACCAAGATAAAAGTTACTTTATCAGATAATGAAAAGATTCCTAAAACTAGTTCCTAAGTACTGGGAGGCAAAAATAAAGCTGAGATTTTTTCAACAAAAAGTATTCAGAGCTTGGCCCATTGCAATATTTACCTCCCTGTTATGGTCAGAGATACCCTTTGCCCACCAAATGCGAGGCTTAAACGATTTCTGAAGAGTGTACTGTCCAGAGCCTTGGGGCCATCATGAAGAGCCTTGGAGCCCTTCATTGGTTCTTGGTAAAACCTATAAGATCATTGAATTCGGCCTCCCTGAAAAGTTCACCAAAATAATCTGTTAGTAAGACAAGGCTGAGTTTATTCTTACTGTGGTGAGGGAGAGCACTACCTTGATAGATATTTTTAGTAACACCTGATAGTGGAGAAGACAAATTCACAATATTTATAAAGTTTTGGAGGATGTTTTAAGGTACTTCTTTTAATATAAAGGCTTGATTAAGATTGGATAAAAATTATGATACAATAGTTTAGGAATTGTGAACCCAGAAAGGCAAGGATTTTGAAGCAAATCTTTGAAGTCTGGGAGTAAATAGTCATTTGATGCTATTTATTAAATAGGTGAAGAGTTTGACATTCATTTAAATGAGTTTTTCAGGGAATTCTTGAGAAGAATAAAATTTTTTGTGTGTAACATAAGAATAGACATATAGATAGTAGAATCAAACTGAGAGTCCAGAAATGCCCTTATATTTATGATCAATAGATTTTTAAAAATTGAATTGAGGTAAATTTCGCATAACATAAAAATCAACTACTTCAAAGTGTACAATTTAATGGCACTTAGTACATTCATAATGTTGTGCAACCATTACCTCTATCTATTTCCAATATATTTTCATCATCCCCAAAGCAAACCCCATAACCATCAAGCATATACTTCCATCCACTTATCCTTATCCACTGAAAACCACTAGTCAGCTTCTTGTCTTTATAGATTTACCTATTCTGGAAGTTTCATAAAAATGGGGTCATATAGTCTGTGATCTTTTGTGCCTGACTTCTTATACTTCATATAATGTTTTGGAGGCTCATCTGCATTGTAGCATGGATCAGTACTTTATTCCTTTTTATTGCTGAATAATGTTCTATTTTTTGAAATGGGATCTTACTATGTTGCCAAGGCTGGTCTTGAACCCGTGGGCTCAAGTGATCCTTCTGAGGTGGGGAAGGAAATAGAAGAGGAAAAACCCTGATCTGGGAATTTCATATTATGCTGCTGCCCAGGTATGCCAGTGCCATGGTCGACGAAACAGATCAAACCTGACATAGAAATTAAAACTAAGAGAAAACTATGGACAGGAGTTCTACCCAATATCCAGCAGCCTTCTTCACGGAATATGTGCCTTCCACAGAGGAAATCGATAGGATGCTCATAGACTGGGAAAAGCAAATTGAAGCATGAGACAAATATAGCTCAAGATGTCCCTATAATAATGATGCAGATATTGACTACATTAATGAAAGGGATGCTAAATTCAGCAAAAAGGTAGAAGGATTCTATGGAAAATATATAAAGCTGAAAAATGTATAAAGCTGAAATTAAACAAAATCTAGAAAGAGGAACAGCCATCTTAATCTCCTTCAGGAACTGTTTTGATTGCCAAATTGTACCAGTAAACCAGGACCCTGTCTGTACCTCTCCTTTAATAAGCTGTAGAGAGATGTTCTATGAATGTCCATGTATTTTCATGCTTACATATTCTTATTATTCACTTATTTTAGCAAAGACTATCTTCTATTTCTGTGTTTAAAGTATGTGTTTAATGTGTGAAACCTCCTGGGCTTAAAATTCTTAGCTACAAATGTATGAGTCATTGTTGTCCTGAAATTTGTCATATATCTGATTTGAGCTGGAGTTGAACTTGGCAGCTTCAGGTGTATGATGCTAAACTGATAGTAATTTTTTCTTGCAAGCTATGGTAGATGGTGAAAGGAGAGCAACAATGGCTATTGGAAATTCACCCTAGGCCCTCCTCTTCTACAGAAATAGTCACAATTACAGGCGCTTGCCTGTTCCATGCTCTACCCCCACAGCCCACGTGCATTTATGTGGGCAAACATAGGGAATAGGAGGCTGATCCTCTAATAGCCTTCCGTAAAATGTCAAAAAGCAAATATCCTTGGAAGAAAGTAAGTTAAAACATTTGGTAGAAGTAGTATTTAAAATATATATAATACAATTTGGCAAGGAAAAAAGCCTAATTGGAGTTTAAACCTTATTTCAACTGTAACTAAAAAATTAGAGCATGAGGCATGTGTAGTAATTATGGGAAATACAGGACAGAAAACCTGAAGTTAGGACTACGCCTTAAAAGTGAAGGATATTTTCTATTTGCATCATTTTTTTTTTAATTTGCGATCTCGGAAAGGCTTTATTTCTACTTCATCATGATTTCATATTGACTCAGAGGCACCATTGTGTGTTTCAATTTGGTATCCTCTTGACTTTTTGCAGTGTTTTTCCTTAAAGAAGAAAATTTTGAGTAAACTCTGTACATTGCAAGTTAATCTTTTGACAATAATTAAAAATGTTGTTGCTGTTGTATCATCAATGCAAGAAGACCAACAATAAAAGTACAGGACAAGGAAATTCACAAGATAATTACAGTAGAACAGACTGAGTCACATTTAGGTGATGGCGAGGACACCGTAGCAGTATATACATCAACCCAAAGATGTGCAAATTGAGTAGAATAATGTATGGATTACACAGTGAATTTTCTAAGCCCATCTGAGGACTTTGTACCTTCTCAAAAATGTCCTGTATCCCCTCCAGTTTACAGAATATCTTTCGTGTCTACTGTGTGCCCTGTTATATAATAAAAGCATGACTGGGATGAATGAGATGCAAAAGTCAGGCATACTAGAAGGAAGCTCTGATTTAGTGAATAATGGACCGTTAAGTAAAGATGGTAATAGAAATGCATATTAATAAAGGTATGTATATTCAATGTATTATTAGTAGAGAAATTATAACATTATGATACATTCATACAATTATAGAATGAGGCAGATCTATATTGACATGAAAAGATGCTTATAATATGTCTATATAAAAAGAGGTTTGTAACTGGGCATGGTAGCACACACCTGTAGTCCTAGCTACTCTGAGGGCTAAGGCAGGAGGATTGCTTGAGCCAAGGAATTGGAAGCTGCAGTGAGCTATGGTGGCACCACAGCATTCTAGTCTGGGCAACAGAATAAGACCCCATCTCTAAAGAAAGATTGTAAAAATTAAAAAAAAAATCACTCAAGGGTACCCATTTTACTTCATTTAATAACGTAAAAGGGTCTGCATTGATATGGTTACATTTCCAGGATCCTCTGTTCTTTAGGGATGGACTAAAAGGCTAGTATCATTGCTTGCAAATGTGTCTCAAACTTGACGGATCATATGTTAAGAAATAAAGTTTACTATCTTTAAATCCTCCCCCCCTCCAAAAAAAAAAAAAAAGAATGATCCTTCCTCCTCAGCATCTTGAGTAGCTGGGATTACAGGCATGTGCCACCGCGCCCAGCTTTGAATAATGTTCTATCATATGGACATATCACAGTTTGTTTATCCATTCTTCAGTTGATAGACACTTGGGTGGTTTCTACCTTTTGGCAATTGTTAATAGTGTTTCTGTGAACATTTGTGTACAAGTATTTGTTGGAATACCTGTTTTTAATTCTTTTGGATATATACCTAGGAGTGGAATTGCTTGATCATATGGTAATGATATGTTACCTTATTAAGGAATCACCAAATTGTTTTTCACAGTGGCTGACCCATTTTACATTCTCACCAGCAATGTTTGAGGGCTCTGATATTCTCTGCATCCTTACTAACACTTGTTTTTGTTTGTTTTTCTTTCTTAAAAAAATTATAGCTATCCTAATTGTGTGAAGCAGTACTTCATTATGGTTTTGATTTGCATTTCCCTAATTGACTAATCATGTTTAGCATCTTTTCATGTGTTTATTGGCCATTTGTATATCTTTAGAAAAATGTCTGTTAAAGTCCTTTGCTCATTTTTATTTTTTTTCTGTTGAGTTGTAAGAATTCTTTACGTATTCTGCATACTTGTAGACTCATATCAAATATATGATTTGCAACTGTTTTCTCCCATTCATTGTTTATTTTTCTCTTTATCATGTGCTTTGATGCATAAAACTTTAAAATTTTGAAGTCCAATTTATTTTTTCTTTCGTTGCTTGTGCTTTTGATGTAATTTCTCAGAATCCATTGCCAAATTCAAGGTGATAAGGATTTATCCCTATTTCTTTTTCATAACAGTTTTATAGTTTTAGCTCCTACATTTAAGTCTTGAGTTTATTCATTTTGAGTAAATTTTTGTAGATGGAACAAGGTGGGGATCAAACTTCATTCTTTTGCATATGGCTATTTAATTGTCCTGATATCTTTGTTGGAGAGACTATTCTTTTTTTTTTTTTTTTTTTTTTTTTTGAGACGGAGTCTCGCTCTGTCGCCCAGGCCGGACTGCGGACTGCAGTGGCGCAATCTCGGCTCACTGCAAGCTCCGCTTCACGGGTTCACGCCATTCTCCTGCCTCAGCCTCCCGAGTAGCTGGGATTACAGGCGCCCGCCACCACGCCCGGCTAATTTTTTGTATTTTTAGTAGAGACGGGGTTTCACCTTGTTAGCCAGGATGGTCTCGATCTCCTGACCTCATGATCCACCCGCCTCGGCCTCCCAAAGTGCTGGGATTACAGGCGTGAGCCACCGCGCCCGGCCTATTCTTTCTTTATTGAGTGGTTTTGTTACTCTTGTCAAATATCAATTAGCTACATATATATAGATTTATTTCTAGACTCTCAGTTCTATTCCATTGATCTATATGTCTATCCTTATGCCAGCACTATACTGTTCAATTATAATAGCTTTGTGTTAAGTTTAGATGTGAGGAAGTATAAGTCTTCCAACTTAATTTTTGTTTAACAAGATTGTGTTAGCTGTTATGGGCAATTGACTTTTGACAAAGGTGCAAAGACAATTCAATGGAGGAAAAAAGAGTCATTTAAATAATTGGTGCTAGAACAATTGGCTATCCACTTGCTAAAGTAATTTGGATGCCTACCATACACTACACACAAAAATTTGGACTCGTATCATACACCACACACAAAAGTTAACTCAAAATGGATCATAGACCTAAATACAGGAGCTAAAATTTTAATGCTCTTAGAAGTAAACATAGGAGTAAATTGTGACCCAGGGTTAGGTAATGATTTCTTAGATTCAATACTAAATCATAGTGATAAAAGAAACATTTGGTAAATTAGACTTCATCAATATTAGAAACATTCATGCTTCAAATGACATGATCAGGAAAGGCAAAAGACAAACCTAGAGGCTGGAAGAAAATATTTCCAAATCACATAATTTGATAAGGGACTTGTATCTGGAATATATTGAGAACTTACAACTTTAGGGGAAGAAAGTCTTTTTCCCTCTGCCCTTCTCTGGCGGTGCCCTGTAAATTAAATGGACAAAAGAGATTAACAAGAGAGAAACAAACAGGAGTTTATTAATATGTGCATTGCACATACACGTGGGAGCATTTAAAGATGAGTAACTCAAAGGGGTGGTTAGAACTTGGGCTTACATAGCATCTTAATGAAAGAAACATACATTTTTAGAGAAGTGACAAAACAAAGCAAAAGGACTTTCAGCTTCTGGGGTGGCAAGTTGTGGGAAGGCAAATATATGGGGAAACTAGTGGTAGATAAGGGCTAGTTTTAGCAAGGTTTGTTAGGCAGATTCCATTGGTGACATCCCTAAGCAGATAAAGGTCTAGAGTTTGTTCTAGCAATTCACTTCTGTATTTCTTGGCAGAGGAAATTACAAATTTATGTCCTGCTTTTCGGTAACTAGGGGAAGAGCAGAGAGCTTTCCTTGTATCTGTTTCTTCTCAATCGCCTTTAGCTCAAAATAATCTTTATGCCAAAATGGTGTAATTTGGGGTGGCAAATTTTGCTATCCTTCACAACTCAACAAGAAAAAGACAAATGATTCAATTTAAAAATAGACAAGGGGTTTACATGGACATTTATCCAAAGAAGATACACAGATTGTCAGTCAGCACATGAAAGGATGCTCAATGTCATTAGGCAGTAGGAAAATGCAAATCAGAACCACAAGAGATCCCATAAGACATATAACCAATAGATGTATATTTTTAAATCCAGAAAATAGCAAGTGTTGATGAAGATGTGGAGAAATGAGGACCCTCATGTATCAACTACTGGGAATGTAAAAATGGTTCAGACTTGTTGGGAAACAGTGTGGTAGTTTCTTCAAGTGTTAAACATAGGAGTTACCACATGACCCAACCATCCAAGGAATCTACCCAAGAGAAATGAGAGTGTGTCTTCACACAGAGACTTGTGCACAAATGTTCATAGTAGCATTAGTCATAATAATCTCAAAGTGAAAACAACCCAAATGTTCATCGACTGATAAATGGATAAACAAAATTTAGTATATCTATAAAGTGGAATACTATTTAACAATGAAAAGTCATGAAGTGCTGATACATGCTTCAACATGGATGAATCTCTAAAACAGTATATTCAGTGAAAGAAGACACAAAAGATCACATATTGTCTGATTCTGCATATATGAAATGTCTAGAATAGGCTAATCTATGGAGACCAAAAGAGATTGATGGTTGCCTCACATTGTTAGAGAGAGATGGGAATTGACTGCAAATGGGCACAAAATTTTTTTGTGGGGTGATCAAAATGTTCTAAAATTATACTGTGGCAATTTTTGCACAAATACTTAATTGTAATAACTATTATTGCCTTCTATATCCAACATGGGTGAGTTTTATGGTATGTTAATTACATCTCAATGAAACTTCTTTTGAAAAATTGTTTGCATCTTTTGTCCATTTGGGTAAGAGTTTCCAGGAAAAGTAAATCATATTGATGAAGATGGAGGAATAATAAAGTCTTGTTAATAGAGACAGTAGAATAGTGAAGTCATATTTACATAGACAGTAACTTATTTTGTTATATATGGTTTCAATTTTCAAAATAAATATGTATATATTTATTTTTAATCATAAACACATCAGATCATGATAACTGCAATGCAAGTATTAAAATATGGTAAGTTACAGAGAGTAAATGGGTGGCTATTCTAGATTAAGCATTCAGAAAATACTTTAATGAAAAGATGATATTGAACCTGAGTTACGACTGATAGAGAGAAGCTAGCCTTGTTAATATGGGGGTGGGAGTGGGTGGAGGAATGGGAAGAGCATTCCCACAAAGAAAATAGCTGGTACAAGTGGGCAGCAACAAAGATTCTTATTTAACTCTTCAATATCCATTCCTTTCTCCAGACATAAAAAAAACACATTTCTATACTTTGCCAGTGCTCAGCAAACTTCAATTTATCATATTCTATGTTTGTTCCTTTTTGTTTTAACTTTTTTTTTTTTTTTTTGAGACGGAGTTTTTGCTGTTGTTGCCCAGGCTGGAGTGCAGTGGTGCAGTCTAGGCTCATTGCAAACTCCATCTCCCAGGTTCAAGTGATTCTCCTGCTTCAGTCTCCTGAGTAGCTGGGATTACAGGTGCCCACCATCATGCCCAGCTATGTCTTTTTTTTTTTTTTTTTTGTATTTTTAGTATAGACAGGGTTTCACCATGTTGTCCATGCTGGTCTCGAGCTCCAGGTGATCCACCTGCCTCGGCCTCTCAAAGTGCTAGGATTACAGGTGTGAGCTACCGCGCCCAGTTGTTTAACTTTTAAGAAACATCTTTGAGCTATAATTTGCATACTGTAAAACTCACCTGTTAGGTGTGCAATACAATGGTAGTTAGTATATTTACAGACTTGTGCAAAAATGACCAGGATATAATTTTAGAACATTTTGATTACTTCAAAAAGAAACCTTGCAAATTATGCGACTCCTCTTTTTGTTGCTCTCCCTTTATTTCTCTCTCTCTCTCTCACTAATCAATGGTTAAGTGAAAATTTTATCACTTTTCTATATTGGCCCACTGACCAGTAACTGGGAACAACTACTTAAGAGCGTCTTCCAACACTAACTTATTCATTTTTTTCTTTGTGGTTTTCTTTCTTTCCTGAACTTCCTAACTTGTTCTTTAGTTGACGGTGTCATCTCCATTATCCTGGGGAAAACTAAAATTGTTATTGCAAAAATAAATACAAATTTTACCATTTTAAAACTTCAGGTAAGTCTCTTAAGAATAAAATAGGCTGGGTGAGGTGGCTCATGCCTATAATCCCAGCACTTTGGTAGGCCAAGGCGTGAGGATCGCTTGAACCTAGAAGTTTGAGACCAGCCTGAGCAACACAGTGAGACTCCATTTCTACAAAAACAAAAAAATATTAGCCAGGCATGGTGGCACATGCTTGTAGTCCCAGCTACGTGGGAGGCTGAATTGGGAGGATTGCTTGAGCCTAGGAGTTTGAGGCTGCCGTGAGCTATGATTGTACCACCGCACCCCAGCCTGGGTGACAGAGCGAGACCCTATCTCTGGAAAAAAAAAAAAAGAATAATATAATGTTAAGGTCCTGAAAAGAAAGAAGAACATAATTAGTACTAAAACAAAGATAAGAAACTAAAATAGATGCAGATGTACCTGATCCCTTCCAAGGCCCCTACCTACCTCCTCAGGATACCTACTCTGTCCAAGACTTTGTTGAGCATTCAATTTAATGCAAATGTGAACACTTTCCTCTTATTAATAGAACACTAGTAAGGTCCTTCTCCTATGGGAAAATGGGGTCTTCCTAGGGAGGGTGCTCCTTTAGGGACCTCCTAGACTACCCCCAGCTATGGCAATATCAAAGGGAAAGCCCTGATGGTATTAGAGAGAGTCAGCATGGTGGGGAGACCTCCTCTGATTATAATTCATTCACTAAACATTTATACCAGGCACTCCAGACTCTGACTGTGCTGTGACTTTATGACAGTAAAATTTAAGTGAACAATGCACTGTAAAGAGTTATAATTTGGTAGATTTTGCAATAAATATTTATAAAACTTATTGTTTATAATATTCCTGAATAGAAGTTTCACTATGTTTTCATCTATTCACATAAATTAATGTCAATAGCTCTTGTCAATGTTTTTACACTGAAACTAAGCTCCTTAAAAACTATTAAACATTCCACTAAATAACTTCCATACTTCTTCATTTGCTTTTTGAAAATAGTAAAGTCAGCAGGAGGGGAGTCTTTGCCAGCATTTATTCAAGTTCCCTCCTGTTATCCTTCTCTTGCTTCCAATCAATTCTTGCTAACCCTTGCTAACATTTTGTTTGCAGAGAGAAGATGTAAATAAAAATTTTCATTATAGAAGAAATAATAGGCTTATTTCAATAAAATTCTGATTAGAAGCCAAATACTACACATGGTGTTTCTCTAGTCTCTGAATTTTAAATGAAAAATTTTTTAGCAAATTCTTCTTGACAGCTAATATATTGGCTGTTCATTAATAATTGTTTCTTTTCTAGACATAGGGTTTTGCTTTGTTGCCTAGGCTTGAGTGCAGTGGTTCATAGGCATGATCACAGTGCACTGCAGCCCAAACTCCTGGCCTCAAGTGATCCTCCTGCCTCAGCCTCCTGAGTAGCTGGGACTACAAGCATGTGCCATCACACCTACTTCTATAATAATTTATAATTAAATATATTCTAGAAATACACTTCCTTTATTTTTACCCTACTGTACTCCCTATATTAATTTTTTTTCAAAACATTTATTAAACAGCTACACTAGCTAAATATTAGAGGGATACAAAGATACATAAATGCTGGCACAGCCTAGAGAGAATGCCAGACTCCTCTTCTCCCTCATCTAACTTCCTGACTCTACCTAGGTGTGTCTTTCTTGAGGTCTAGTTTCTTATGGGATTTTCTCTCTCTTCACCATGGGGCAGGTGGGATAAGAACTGTGTAGGATGTGCATTAGAATTATCTGCTGAATAGACAAGGTGGGAGTATTTATTCTCAAATTCCTGTCCTGTCTTAGTCTGTTTTGTGCTGATATAACAGAATATCTGAGACTAGGTAATTTAAAGTGAACAAAATTTATTCACTTACAGCTCTGGAGGCTGAGAATCTCAAGAGTGAGGGGCCAGCATCTGATAAGGGCCTTCCTGCTGCATCATCCCATGGCTGTAGGGCAAAGAGTGGGCAAGAGAAAGAGAAAGAGAGAGTGAGTGCACGCAACAGGAAAGTGGGCCGAATTCACTGTTCTATCAGGAAGCCACTCCTGGATAACTAACCCACTCCAGTGATAATGGCATTAATCCATTCATAAGGGCAGACCCCTCATGACCTAATCATTTCTTAAAGGTCCTATCTCTCAACACTATTGCAATAGATTATGTTTCCAACACATGGACTTTGTGGGCACAAAAACCATAGTACCTCCCATTTATCAATGGTTTGTTTTAGTACACCAGAATGGATCAGACAGCTTCTAAAGCCATCCCACATGCTGACAGAAGTCTAGCACAAAACAAGAGAGTCTTACTAAGTCTAAAACGGGGTGCTCCCAGGCTGCATCTTCCTACAGTTTGTTGTAACAACAGTTCTGGGACCAAGAAGTGGGCCAAGAGGATGCAACATTAGATGTAAAGGATGTCCAATATAGCCTGTTTCTTGCCTAGGAAAAAAAAAAAAAAAAAAAAAAAAGACAGTGGGTGATGCACATCTTGCTAGAAGACTTGAGTTTGGAGAAAAACTCTCATGGTAACAAAGAGTATACATTTACCTGGCCTTGTCCTTTATGCATATAAATCCCTGGGAGCATCCGACAAGAAGGTGTAGCTATGGCATAATGGGATTACAGTGTGACTCTCGCCATGGCTCGATCTATCTGATAGGCACAACTGAAATACACCGTGACCCTTGACCTCAAACAGTTTCGCAAGTCTTTCTGGCATATTGCCAACTGAAAAGTTTTATGATTTGGGGCTGTTAAATAAAATATATTATGACCTTCTACTTGACAAATATACTTTCATTTACAACATTTAAAAAATGTGTAAAGCTATAATTTTTGTATGACTGAAAGGAATATATCAATGATGAGAATTTAATTATTGTCATAACTGAGTTTGCTGTTCATGAGCTGGCAATGTAATAAAAATACATATATTATATACATTCTATAATAAAGAGTAAGCATTTATATTTATATATTTATTCGACAAAATTACCTCCATTTCAGGAATTCATCTTCAGTCACTTAAAACCCTTTAAAAGAATCTTTTTTAAAATAATCTCTAAGCTATTGTCTCTCTTGTTAAATCTATTTTTAGCAGATTTCCTTAGGTATAATTGACATACAATAAACTACCCATATTATAAATACACCTGTAAAACCACCACCGCAATCAAGACACGAACATAGCATGAACACATCTGTCATCCCCAAAAGTTTCCTCTTACATCCTTTTGTAATCCTTCCTTCCTATTTTTCTGTCTCAAGGCAACCACAGATCTGCTGCCTGCCACTATAGATTTGTTTACATTTTCCGGAATTTTATAAGAATGGAATCAGTGGGTATGGCTTCTTTCACACAGCATAATTATTTGGAGATGCATCATCCTTATTGTTTTGTGTATTCCATTGTATGAATACACAATTTGTTTATTTATTAATAGGCGTTTGTGATGTTTCCAGTTTTGGGCTACTACAAATAAAGCTGCTATAACATTTAAGTGCAAGTAACAGGTATAACTATATGATTTGATTTCTTTTGGGTAAATACTTAAAAGTGGAATGGCTGGATTACCTTGTAGGAGTATGTACTACTCAAAGGCTTTCCAAAATGGTACAACTATTTTACATTCCATTAGCAATGTATGAGGGTCCCTGTTCTTCCTTATCCTTGCCAATACTTAGTATGATCAGTATGATTTTAAAAATTCAGCCACTCTAGTAGGTATGTAGTGGCATCTAATGGTGGTTTTAAATTGCAATTCCCTAATAATTAATGACGTTGGGCCTCTTCCATGTGCATGAAATATGTGTTCAAATCCTTCATTCATTTTTATTGAGTTGTTAATTTTCCTATTGCTTAGTTTCGAGAGATCTTCACATAGTCTTTATCAGAAAGGTAATTTTCACTTTTCTCAAACACTCTAACACTTTAATGTTTTTGTTAGGTTTTCGCATCAGGGTTATACTGGCCTCTTCGAGAGTGATTTTGGAATATTCCTTTCTCATTGATTATATGTAAGAGTTTCTCTAGAATTGGCATTAATTCTTCTATAAATGTTTTATAGACCTCATCAATGATAACTGGGCTTTGAGTAGACCCCAAACTGCTAAGACATCAGGGTTGTCAACATTTAAGATCCGGAGCTCAAGAAAGTTCAGGGATGAAGAAAGCAGTTTAAAGTCATTGGTATACAGGTAGCAGCCATGAAAATGGAAGCTGTCATTCGGAGAGAAGATATTTAGTAAGAATAAAGGAGGTCTGAAAAAAGTATCCAAGGAAACACTGCCAGTAGAAATCAAGGAGACAGCTAAGAAGACTTAGCGAGATTAGAGAAGAAGGGGCGATCAGGAACAAAAGGTCTCATAAACATAAAAGGGGAGAATAAATTCCAAGGAAGGGACTGATTTAAAGTTGCAGATGTCTCAGAAAAGTTCAGTAATGTAAGAACTGAAAATTAGTCACTAGACACTTTAGAAACAATGTTATCTGACATGTATGAGAAAGTTCCGAATGCTGTATATATACTGACTATGTACCAGGCAAGTTCCAAATACTGAATATACGCTGACTCATTTCACTTCCACAGTAATCCCAGCAAGCATGTATAATTATGATCTCCACTTTACCGACGAGGAGACTGAGTACATGGAGGTGAACAGCATTGTGCAAAGCATTACAGGTGTAAGCTGGCTGCACCGTGATTCCAACCCAGGTAGTCCTAACCACTACGCTCTCAGTATAGTGATGAAGGTAGAAGCTGAACTTCTAAGTACAAGCCCCGTAGCAGCAACATTGCAAAAAGTCTTCAAACCTGTAGTTCTAACACACAAAAAAGGCCAGGGGTCAGCCTAAAGCACCCTTAAACGCCAAGCCTTCAGTATTTAAGGAAGGGCATCCGCCGATTCCCAATGGGGCATGATACACAAATGGGTCTAGCCAAGGTGCTACTGCTGCTTAAACTGCTGTTGCAGTCCAACCTAGTACCAACACCATGTGGTTTGAAGCCAGGTGTAAACAAAGTAGCCAATGGGCTAAACTTAAAGCAGTGTAAATAGTAATCACCAAAAAAAAAAAAAAAAAAAAAAAACCACCTATGGTAATCTGTACCAATAGCTGGGGAGTCTATCAAGGTCTACCTTATGGTTAACTACTTTAAAAATACAAAATTGGCTAGTCAGCCACCAATCCATTTGGGGCCAAGCCATGTGGCAAAACCTCTGAAAAATGGGTTATCAAAAAAGTGTAACTATTTATCATTTGTCAAGCCATGTGCTTTTGGCCACCCCTGGCAATAATAAGGCAGATGCCTTGACTAAGGTCCAGTGGCTGAAGTCAGCATCTACACAAAATGTGGCCTTGTGGCTACACCAAAAACTGGAACATGCAGGGGGTAAACTAACACCACAAGTCAATAAGTGTTGGGGTCTGTCCCTGCCCACGCGAAATATTTGGGAGGCTTGCCAAAAATGCCCGGCTTGTGCTCAGGCATACCCTAAATGGAGGCAGCTGCCCAGTGTTACACAAGTAACAATACAGCAAGTGCCCTTAACCAGGTGGCAAGCAAACTACATCGGGCTACTGCCAACGTCTCAAAGGTATAAGCATGCGCTAACAGCGGTAAACACGGTCACAGGCCTGTTGTTCACCTACCCTTGTAGGGTGGCTGACCAACAGCACACCATCCCAGCCCTTCAACACTTATGTGCCCTGTATGGTTCCCCCTGGCTGTTAAAAGTAACAGGAAAACACATTTTACTAAACAACAGGTACAACACTGGGCACAACAAATAAACATAAAGTGGGAATTCCATGTGCCGTACAACCCGCAAACTGTGGGTATAATTTAAAAACATAAAGGGCTCTTAAAAAATAAGTTACACTTGCATGTCACACCCCCTTCTTTGCAGGGCTAAAGTTCCAGGCTAAACCTGGTGCTCCAAACCTTAAATAAGTGGCCACAGAAAGGCAGCTCGCCCTGTAAAGGCATTGTTACACCAAGCAACCACCCCCCATTCAGTTGCAAATACACACTAAAAATAACCTTCTCCAACCAGGTATAAAAACAAACAGTAGTTTGTTGTTGCTTGCTGCAGCACCCCCAAAGGCAGGGAAACAACCTGGCTACGGCCATAAACCCTCCAAGCCCCCAGTTACGGGTGGTTGGCCACTGAAGCTCCCTGTGGGGAGGGCCTACAGCATAACTTGCATGTCACTCCTTAAGTGTTCAGTACATGGCCTCTGCGGTCAACTGTTTGTAGAAAAACAGACAGGAAACAACTCTTCTCCAGTAAACATATGTACTATCTGTGTGGCCTATTATAAGCTCCCTCGTAACTTTGGGACAAATACAAAACCCAAGGAAACCATGGGGAGCTAAAAAGGTGTAGTACCATCACCCAGGGCAGAAGCCCTTGGCGGCTGCATTTTTATCCAGGAATAAAAAGTTAGCCTGTATTTTGCCTAAAAAATGTAATTTACCTCTGTTAGTACCTGTGCCTGCTCTGTCATTTCAACCATAGGTTACCATGCTCCAATTGCCTTGTAAACTGGGCCCACACTTAATGCTAACATAATCAATGTTTCCAACTCTTAAATCTGCACTGCCCTTCCTGCAGCAGCTGCAAATGGCTTGCCTTGGCATATACATTCAGTGTCTGCCAAAAACTAAACATGGCTAAAAACTTGGGGTCCCATAGCTAACACCTGGAACACAACACAGCAAGCTTTAAAGAAAGAAAGCTGCAAAGCCCACGGCATGCCCAACCCCTAACTGGCCCGTAGCATTTGTAATAGGTGGGGCTGGCTAGTGGGGGAACATATAGTACCCCTGGCCCTGGTGCTGAAGTGCACAAAGCAACATTATGGTAACACCACTGTGGAATGGGTACCCGTCATGGCCTCTGCAAACATAACACGTGTCACTACACCAAAGGTTTGTTGAGACAAGTGGCCCCGCCAAGATCAGGCCCCACTAAACTTTGTGCCCCCTGGGAGTTTATGGGTTTGTAAAAATACAGGATAGCCTTACCTACAGCAAACTGAACTAAACGTTGTACCTGGGGGTGGCCTTATGTACCTGCTACTGTTCTCCCCACATTGCCCCAACACCCACATAACTGAAAAGCACTACGCTCTTGGTTTTTGCAAAGGCCACAAGCCCCTGGTGGTTCTACTCCTTGGCATTAATTGTTCCTAAAGCGGGCATCATAAGTGTAAAAGCACAAGTTACCTCTCTTGCAAAGCAGACTGCTCAGGCTCTAAATTACATGCAAGTGGCCTTCATCCTGTTAATAAAGTTAAATCAAAAGGTGGTGTTACCTTTTGGAACCAAATGGCCTTAAACATAGTAACTGCTGCCCAAGAAGGCACCTGTGCCCTCTTAAAAACACAATGTTGTACTTTTATACCTAATAATCAGCAAAATATAACAGCAGCCCTGCAAGGGGTCCCGTGAAAAATTAAGGTGGTCAAAAGCCTTACTACAAACCCCCCGCAAAAATGGTAAACATTCCTGGGCTCTAGCCTATGCTGGGCCCGAATAGTCATAAGTAGCATAGCTAAAATCCTAGGAGGTTATAAATTCAGGACTCTGCTCTATGAGCATGTGTCATTACCCAAAAAATGCCCTTGGCCTAACTGGTGGAGTGTAAGGGAGATGGCGGCACTTTAGTCAGGATTAGGCTGAGGTGGCCTTCCAGTGAAGAATAACTCAGCCGGTTTGGAGCGCAGGTGCGCAACCCCACACATTATGCAACCACTCCATGTAAGGCACATTAGGTAACCACTCACATAGCTCGTGCTTAGCTTGGAGCCACTATTGTTTGTAAAAGATATAGCTAATGTTGTATATATGGCTAACGCCCCACCAAAAATAAAGTCATGTTGCAACTGCCTACAATTCCTCAAGTGTTTTTCCAGCTACCTGCCACCTGTCCACCAACTCCCCTCAAACCTCAGCTTGGGCTAAAACCTAACAACATACAAAATATGCTTTCCAATAGTGGAAGTTGTGCCTATAAATAGGAACAAATGGAGGCAATATATTCCTGTATTAAAATTCAACACAATTGATAGCTTGATAATACGTATAAATGAAACAAAAAAGCAAGAATCATAGACAAGTTTTTCATAAAATAAGGTAAAATTTCTTGGTTTTACATTTTAGTTCATCACAACTGGATGCAAAGACCTGTGTACTCTAATTTTTGTCAAAAAAAAAACAACATGGGATGATAATAAGCAATAAATAGTAATATTAATAAATATTTCAATGCTTCAAAATGTTTGGAAAATATACCCCCTAGGAATATATTATGCTCTTCAAATGGTATTTTAAAAATCATTTCGTAAAACTTATTTTCTTTTAAAAATGAGTTATAATTTTATATTTGCAGAAGTTTTGACACTGATGGCTCTAAAAAACCTAATACCCTTGAGACTGGTGTAACTAATTAATAAAATGCTCTTTGCAAACAAAATAAATTCAGAAGAATTCATGCCACAATTATAACATTGAGATAAACATTTGCATCAGAGCAATCTGATTTCAGATGTTGCATCAAATAACAAGCTGAACACTTCACGCTGTATTTATAGACCTTCTAAGAGACTAAATTATGCATAATTTATTGTAACTTTGAGATTGCCACTCATTATGTAGTGTTAGCAGCAAATACTTACTGTGGGACACATATAAGTATCAAAATAAAATTAGAGAAGTTCGGAGACTGTGTCTTTTAAGGCCGAGAACTTCATCAGCTCTTTTAGTATTTTCTACCATTCAAGAATTAAAGCACAATCCATTAACTTAGCAAGTAACGGTGATAAAAATACTCTTATGATAATTCCTTCTACAGTTTTTCACTGCAAAGATTGTTGTTTCTCCATGTGAACTTAACAAATACTCTAGCAAGCTTGAAAGCATGAGGCTTTTTCTTGTTTTCCTCTCCCATTTTTGGGGTCTGCTTTCTCCAGATGCCTCTGTTATGGACTTCAGCTGAAAGCAGCAGTGCAGATCTGGGTTGTATTATGAGCACATGCATAGCATTAGATCCCTTGAGCCACACCACCAATAGCAGACCAGTTCACTGGCCTGGGTCATTCCTTCCAGCTGAAGCAATGTGGGAACAAGGCCTCTCTGACAGCCCTAGGCTACCCACAACCAGGAATACCACTGGGGATGAAGAAACAGAGAGAGTGCATCAGATTACGGCTATGCAAATTGCCTAATATTAATGTGGTTTTCCTTGCTCATAAGAAGGCATGGTCCAGGTGTGGTGGCTCACGCCTATAATCCCAGCACTTTGGGAGGCTGACACAGGCGGATCACCTGAGGTCAGGAGTTTGAGACCAGCCTGGCCAAACAACATAGTGAAACCCTGTCTCTACTAAAAATACAAAAGTTAGGCATGGGAGCTGTTTCGCTGTTTCGCTGTTTCGCTGTTTCTCAGAGGGAACTTTCGGTCACTTCAGAGTTTGGTGCCAGGAATGCAGAGACCAAAGAAAGGTAGAGAAAACTTGAGGTTTTAAATATATGGGATAGATGTGAGGTGGAGAATGGGGTTTCAGGAAAGAATTGCTAGTGGAGGTGCCAGAAATGCAATTTCTAAAATCCCAAAGAAAACAGGAGTGTTTCAAGTACTCTCTAGAGAAAGGCAGTGTGGATAAGCGTTGGAGTCCACATCTGCTCCCCCGTCCCCTCAGATTTGAAATTCTAGGTCACAGTTAACCTCCTTACATGCTCTATCTTCCAAGTGAAATTTACGTTCACAGGTGGGGCACTCATGACAGCGGGCATAGATCGGCGAGCACCCCAGTGAAGCTGAAACCAGGATTTTTTCTTTTTCTCTTTGATTTTTTTTTTTGTTATAGTTTATGGCTAGTAAGAATCATGTGGGTCTGGATATTGATATTTCCTGATTCAATTACATTGGGTTTGTTTGGGAAATCATAGTTAACAAGTAATTGATGCTTACATTGTAAAGTGCTGAAGCAGTGATCACATTTAATTTGTGTTTTATAATTTTTCATGAGTGTGAGGCTTGTACTCATATTCTTATGCCACATGCTGAATGTCTGGCATTTAGGACAAGTGAACACATGAAATATTTGGGGGTCAGAGAAAGTCAATTTTGTAAGTGCTGAAGGCTTTCCTGCAATGGAACACTGGAGGAGGCCTGTTTTTAGCATTGTAGCCTATTGTTGTGATAGCCACTGTTTCCCAGACATGGGACATTATTCTGCTCCCTATTAGGAGTTTTAAGATAAGAAAATTCTTGGTCAAACAAACTTGAGAAAAGCAGTCTTGAGCAGATTTACCCATCTTTATCTTCCTGTGAGGCTTCTCAGTTTTTAATCTGTGAATATTCACATTTAAACCCCAAGAGGGAACTATGCAGTGCAGTACTTCTCTGATGTTTTTGGTTATGGAATACTTTAATTTTGCATACTGGTGGAGTTTAGGACATGCTACCCCAACATATGACACCTTGGCATTTGAAAAAATAGCACAAGCAGAAAGGCCATTCTCATCTTCCTCTCGTCCTTCTCCCCTGAAGCAGATCATACCTTCCCTCTATCTGGAGAAAAGGAACATCCTTAGCCTTGAAAATACAGAGATACCGAGAAGAATCTGAACAGGCAGGCCTTGCTAAGTTCCCCTGATTTTATTATCATTAGATCTTACCCTCTTTGTCCAATCATACTTCTACACAATTGTCTACTCTTCATCAAACCCTACCATGGAAACATGCACGTTTTCTGTTTCTTTGGGTCTTTATTTTTGAAGGCTCCCTATGTCACATGAATTTAAATTTGTAAACTTTTCTCTTGTTAATCTGTGTTTTTTTTACGGGGGCCTCAGCCATGAGCCTTGCAATGGGTGAGGAAAAGATACTACTTTTTCTCTGGTACAATACCAGTTAACAACTTTCAGATAGTTTATTAGGAAAGCAGTCTGGGGACTACCAAGCTATGAAAAGGGCCTTGGCCACTGATTCCTGATTAGTTCAGACACTGGACCTTTGGACAAAAGCATCAGAGTAAAAAAGTACATTTACCTGGCTTTGGGCCCTGTGCTTGTATCCCTTGGGCATTTTTGTTATGGAAAGGGGCTAGGGAGGATAAAGCTTGGTTGGATGGAGGAAAGGGAAAGGAAGGAAAGGTAAGGTAATGGTAGGACAAGATACAGGCATTCAGAAATCTTGCATCCTGACCAAATACTTTTTTAGTTCCACCTTTGACACAGCTTATTGAATCAAAGATATCTAGGTTGAAATCAAAGCTGTACTAGCTATGAAAAAGGTGATGATGTGAATGTTGCCTAACTCCTAAACTTCAGGTTCCTCATGTACAAAGTCAGGGGACTGTAACTCATATTGGATATATTGGGAATATAACTCATTAGATTATTGTAAGATTTATGACCTACCTGGCACATAAAAAGCACTCAGTAAGTATTTGTTGAACACATATACTTAATTTTGTGCCTAGCATATAGTCTTCAACAAATGGAAACTTTTATGATGACTGCTATCATTAAAGGCCTGAATCCCAAATATAAATATAAGTGCAGACAGAAAGCACCTCAGTGTTGAGAAAAATACACGGTACTCACCAAATCTAAATTTTATGAATGCTTAAGGCTATTTTTGATGAGATCGTGTATATGGATCTATAGATTATCATAGAATTAGTTAAAGACTTAAAATATTTTATAAAGAAATACTGAGTGCCCAGAGAGGGGAGAAGTAAAGTACCAAGTAACCAGGGCAGCATATTGTGCTGGGGGGATGGATCAGCCTAAATATGAAGAATAAGTTATCTGCCCATATCAAACTATCCTACACATCAATGTCAGACGAATCTTTCCAAAACTCAATATGTCAGTTTGCTATTCAAAACCTATTAACAGAGCAATGATCCCCATTGAGAATCTGATGACAATTATGGACATTCTTTCTAGAGAAATTCATATGTGCACATGTAAAGATATTTTTCTCTATTATTTCAAGAAATTATTGGACACATCAAAGCCCATTATAAACCATGTATGGTCCATTGATGCCACCATTAGAACTTCTGAGGTTCATTCTAATAATATATAGTCCAGCATTTTTATCTTGACATTCAAGACCCTCTACAAAATCTCTGTATTATATCTACAATAGCTATAACGACTTTACTTTCTACTCCATTCTCACTCCTCTTGACCAAACACATAGACCCATTTTTGCAGAACACGACTTACCCATTGTCTTCCAAAGATTTCAGAATTGGAGGCATCTATCTTGTCTCTTGTAACAGTTTGTAACTGTTCCTTTTGTCTGAAATGCCTTTCTTAGTCTTCCCTGGTTATGTAATTCCTTCTATCTCTTTAATAAAGGCCATTTCAGTTCCATATATTCTGCCAAATCTTTTTCAAGCAATGATGACCATCAAAAGTCATGATCTATTGGTAATAAACTGGGGCGGGGAGGGGGAAGTTGGGAGGAAACTTAGCAAGGCCTGCTTGTTCAGATTCTTTTTAGCATCTCTGTGAAACATTTCTCCCCTCCAGGACACCTGTCACATGAAGGCCTTCAAGAGAGAAGGTGAGAGAGACCTTCTGCTTTGTGGTTTTCTCAATTTCCTTCAGCTGAAAATACTCAGTACGCCAAGATGCCATGTTTTAGAGCATTGCGTTCTGAGCCCTGACATTGCCTTTATCACCCATTTGAGAGTTCATGTGTGTTCTTTTTAGTTTATCCTTTCATACATATATGTCAAGTCTCCCTAGCTCAATTGTAAGCCCTACAATGGTAAGGGCTATGTTTTATGCATTTTGGCTCAGAGATAAAATATTGCAGATAGTAATGCCGTGTTTCTTCAGATTGTAGTAAAATGTTTAAGAAAACTAACACAATTTAGCCTAATTTCCCACATAAATACAATTATCTGACCCAAGCATAGGTATAAAAACAAAACGACATTTTAAAAAAGTTGAAAAGTGTTCTAGAATTCGGTAGCATTACAATCAGTCACCACTAGATGGAGGAAGTGATTTTCTTAGTTGGAGTGAATTTGAAGCTTTTCGTTTGAAGAATCACAAACGCTTGCTTAGGCCTCAGATGGTTATTGTTGGCAATTTATCAGATTATCAATATTTTCAAGAAGATTGGTCTTCTTTATAATTTTATAAAAAGTATTCTCTATCTTCCTTTTTCAAATCCCACCCGTAAAAAAGGCAAAACAAAAATAAAGGAACAGACATAACTAGTATGAAATAAAACATATTAAACAAATGATTTTAAATATACCTTGAATTTCATATGATTTCATCACATATTAGCATAATTAATGCCTTTTTATAATAAAATAAATATGATGTTTGTAGACCTTTATAGACTTCATTGTCTTTCTGAGTATCATGCTGTTTGACTGTATTTATTGCTATTGTTATGTGTTTACAACATGCCTACATCAAGTACAAAAACTTTTGCTTCAATTGACTTTTGTTTTGAAAAGCCCTGTTTTGTGTTCCTTCCAAAAGGCAAATTTGAAACTCAGAAAAAAAATTAAATTTCTATAACTGTGAAAATCACTTTTCAGTAAGGGCAAAATTGATATCATTGCAGTTGATTAGAAAGTGAAACCCTTCACCTTTCTTTCTTTCTTTTCTTTCTTTTTTTGGTAAATGTTGTTACTTTTCTGTAACTGTAGCAGAAATGTTAGAATTATCATAAATGAGCTTTTGCGCATGCTGTTATTTCATCTTCTGTAAAAAAATTTCAATCATATTCTTAATGTTTCTGTTTCCAAGCCAACTGTTTAATGCTCAAGGCTTTATTTCAGACTGCAGTTCAGACTATTCATTTATGCTAACAGTAGAGCTTGAACAATACTGTAAATTAAAGAAAATGTAATTTTGGGATTTGTCTTATAATTTACCATTTTCAAAAAGCACTCTCTGGAGAAATTAATAGCTTAAATATTACTGGAATAATGAGGATCAAGTTTGAGGAAAATATAGCTTGAAAGTCTATTACTGAAAATGATGGAAATAGGCATTTTTGTATTGCTATCCAAGCAAATATAATACCATACCATTTATCTCTAATTATCCCCAAGAAAAAGAACAAGAAGCACTGAAAAAACAAAGAGTAAAGATTTAAATGGATCTGTTATTCTCCTGCTTTCCCTCACCTACTATTTCTGTTATTATAAATATTAACAAAAATCAGCAAATAGAACTAGAGAGTAAAAACAGAAGGCTGATATATTCTTTGGGTCAACAAAGAACTTCTATGCAGCACATCAAAAAATCTTGGGTCTATTATTCTGGGAAA